>NC_000006.12:68367957-68670988 GCF_000001405.40 Homo sapiens
TAAAATATTTGTTGATATTTGTATTTCACTCACCACATTATAATATGATTACCTAAATATCTGTTTATGAACTCTTTAATGCCAGGAGGCATAATTTTTCTTCTTTATAGACCAGTGTCTATTGTAGTAGACCCTAGTAAGCATTTGTTATTTGAATAAATATGCAGATAAAAAAAGTAGAGTGACATTTAAGATGCTTAAACTCAAAGGCATTAATATATATCCAGGTTTCCTTGGGATGCCAGAAAATCTTAAAAATACAGCTCTGGGTTTTGGACAAGAGGAGAATAGAATCTACTCCTAAGACTGTATGAAAGGATAGAAGAAAAATATGAGGGCTGCTGAAATAACAAAAGGAGTCCTGGATTGTTCCAGTATACACAATAAAATAAGTGATCTGCTGTAACTGAGATTAAGGAGGAAAAATTGGAAGTTTATAGGCTGAAGAGATTTGGAATATTTTTGAGAGCAATAAGCCAAGGAGTCAATGAGGGAGAAATATCAGGCATGCTGAACAGTGGTCAGGGCCAGCTTACAGCTGGTTTGTATAAATATTAAGGAGGCCAGGTCTGCTTGGCTATAGCTCTTTATCCAGCATGGATGCAGGCATAAAGAAAGTGGCCTTCATAGTGGATCTCCTGAAGAAAATTATCAAGGACAAGGGCAAGGGCAACACAAAGTAAGAACAAAGATTAAATAGTCAGGATATAGAATTATACTGTAATATTTTACAATGGACCAATCAGGTCCAAAGCTATTAGCACATATTAAGATTTCTGTAAATATTTGTTGAAAACTTTTAATGAAATGAGTAACAGATATGCCATTTCTGGTCATATATTTCATGCATAAAGCCCAACATAATGAATAGAATATTCCTTTCAAGATATAATATTCCTCCTGAGGAGATAGTATTTTGTGCTTGAATTACAATATTTCTCAATTCTAGTTTCCAAATATACTCAGAAAAAAATTAATGGAAATAAGTAAATGACTCTACAAATAATGTCAAGCTGCCTTTCTTTGCTTAACTCTGTTTAAAGAGTATTAAATTTAAAGAGAAAAGAATGGCTCATGATGAAATGAATCATCACTTGAATTTTTTTAGGATCACAACCGCAATAAGCATAATGAATTCCAGTCAGTTTAAAGAATTAACCTGTATAAACATCTATTGTAATATGAGTAACACTGACAGGCTCTACAATAAATTAATATAGACATATGTTGTTGTTGTTTTTCCCTGACTTCATTTTAACTTGTATGTGCCTTTAATGGCATAATGGGAAAGGGAGATGAGAAGGGAGAAGATAATAAAGAAGAAAGGAATAACTAAGGGAAGGAGGCAGTATAAGCAAAACCTGGTATTTGGGAATTTAAATTTAGAGAAAAAAAATGAGCTGTTTCTTTTGGACTATTTATTTTGAATCTTCCAAACTCATGTGTTCATCTAGAAATGACCTTTTGTAGTACCATAGGATAGTGTGACAGAACAGATTATAGGAAGAAGTAACCATAAGTGGATGGCTAGGATTAGGAGTGGGAAGGTGGGGTTTAAACACTTAAACCCACTTAAGCCAGGCACAGAAAGACTAACATCATATGTCCTCACTTATTTGTGGGATCTAAAAATCAAAACAATTGAACTCATTGTCACAGAAAGTAGAAAGCCCTTCCCAGAGAATGGGTTGTATGGGAGGAGGGAATGGTTAATGGGTACAAAAGAAAATAGAAAGAATGAATAAGATCTACTCTTTGATAGTGCAATGGGGTGACTATAGTCAATAATAACTATATATTTTAAAACAGCTTAAAGAATGTAATTGGATTGTTTGCAACTCAATGGATAAATGATTAAGGGGATGGATACACCATTCTTCAATATGTGCTTATTTCACATTGCATGCCTGTATCAAAAAATTTCATGTACCCCATAACTGTATACACCTATGTACCCACAGAAATTGAAAAAACAAGAACAAAATTAAATATATATATATTTCAATGTGTGTTTATTATATTAGCAAACACAAGTAATCAGTAAATTATAAAATAGTGGGAGATGTACCAATTCATTAAAAAGCCACAAGCCCTTGAAATATAAGTAAGTAAAGAAATCAGGCAGGAATGCAGAGAAGAAAACTCGTATAGGTCATATGTACTTAGCTTATCACAAACATTTTCTGTCTCGTTCATTCTTTGAAAGGTCAAATTTCTCAAACTATCTGATCCAATTTTTCCACCCACACTGACTGGCGATAATAGTGTCTCCATTAAAAATTAGTTATTTAAACTGTCAGTAATTTATAAGAAAAAGAAAGGTGTAATTAGCATCATATTGCCAATAATACCAGTTATTATGTCTTTTTAAAATGAAGATGGTGCTAGTGATAAAAATCAGTAGAATGCAGGGGTTCAACTTTTTTCTGATAGAGTAAAATTAATTCATTAATACCTCTAAGATACTCATGATGGCTATTATGTCACTCTTCTAGATTATGGAGAAAAAATATTAATATGATATAGACCTGGTCTTGCAAACAATCTGGTAGAGGAGAAAAGTATGTTAATCATATGCAACATTTTAGGTGCCTTATGAAGACAGTGATAAAGTATCTAAGAAGAACAGAGACCAAAATAACTAAATCAGAAAGTTTGTCTAGTACCCTTCTACCAAAACATACAATTCTATTTGTACTTTGAATGATAATGGAAAAGAAGTAGGAAAAATGTCCTGAGGATAGGGCCTACACTATGGCAAGACCTGCATCCAGAGAGTAGGAAACTTATGGAAGCTATCTTTCAAGTAGAAATGAACAGGAATTGATCAATTACAATGGGAGGAGCAAGGAGGAGAAATAAGCCAGTGTTGAGTGTTCTCAGAAATTTCATAAGAAAGAATAAACTATTAATATATATTGAATAAATTTAAAAAATTCATCTAATAGTCTCTATTTGCTTTCCCCACTAATTGACCTTTGGCCAAATCATTATGGATATCCATAAGCATAGAATTTACCTGGATTTGATGCAGAGTGGGTGAAATGAATGACTGTTCAGGTTATGCATGTTGGATTTTCTTAACAGGAGATTTTTCAAATTTATTTCCAGTTGTATCCAATCTGATAATTCAAATAGTTCATATAGGGCAACATTGAGTGCCTTTTAAAAAATGTTTTGTTTACTGCTAAATTTCTACCATCTGGCTAGTACATGGCACAAGGTGGACATTTAATAATTACTTTTGAATAATTGAAGAGAGAATGTGCCATGAAAACAAAGCATCAAGTCAAAGCCTGTAACAGAACAACAATCTTGATAAGAAAGCCAGTGAGGAATGAGTTTAGGGAAAGTGGACATGCATGAGGTTAAGGAGGTAGCCAGCGACCTGATCTTGAGGCTTTTGCAGGACATGGCAAAACATTTAAATTTTGTTCTAAGGGGAATAGAAAATTTTTAAAAAATTTTGCACAAGTGGTGCATGGGTGTATGGCATCATCTAACTCTGTTTTTTTTAAAGATCATTCTGTCTGTTGGTTGAAGATTACACCATCTGCATGAGAGACTTGACATGAGGAGAATAATTAGAATGCTATTTCATTATCTTAGCTTCGTTGAAAGTGATTATGGTAAAGATCATAGCTACACTTTGAAGGTAAACCAATAGGAATTATTGACAGATAATTGTGCATGTCAAGGACAGGTAGGATCAAGAATGGCTCTTAGGTGATAAGTTACCATAAACTTAGTGTCTAACAACAACATGTATTTATTATCTCACAGTTTCTGTGGATCAGGAATCTAGGCACAGCTTCACAGGGGCCTCTTCTTAGGGTCTCATGAGGGCTGAAATCTTTATCTGTAGGCTCTGGGGAAGAGTTTGCTTCCAACCTTACTCACGTTGTAGGTAGAATGCATTTCCTTGTGGTTGTAAGATTGAACACATGAGTTTCTAGCTGCCTATTGGCTTGTGTTGTTCCTCATTACCTGGAGGCTGCCCTCAGCTTTTTGCCATAGGAGTTTCCAAAGCATAGCTGCTTACTTTTTTAAAGATAGCAAGGAGAGTCTTTAAAGAAAGTCTGTTAGCAAGATTATATAACAAAACCATGAGAGCGATATCTTGTCACCTTTTCCACATTCTACTGGTTAGAAGAAAGTCACATGTCTGCCCCACCCATCAGGAAAAGGGATTAGACAAAGTCATGAATACTAGAAGTTAGGGGTCATGAGGGGACGCTCTTGAATCTGTCACAGGTGGAAAAGTGGTTGGGCCTCTAATGACAATATTATACAACGGAACTGACTCTGGGATCACCTACTATGGAACTTTACCTTACATATGACTTTTAAAAATCCTTACTCATTAAATCCACTTTTGGTAAGGGGTTCTGCCACTTCCAGCCAAAAGTATCCTGTCTGACACAGGGACATGAAAGATTAAGAACTTCTCACTTGAGGGTCTCTATCTTCCCTTTGTAGTAGAGGAGGATGATATATTTTGGCTTTACCATAAATGAAAGTTTAACATAGCTGCTACAGTGAGTGGGAAAGGGGGATAAGTTAGGATCACATAGAAGGAAGTTCAGGTCATGTTTAGAGACCAGGTGACATTACAAAGTCAGTATTTAATTACAACAATCTGAAAACTTTGCATTTTTACCCTCTGTTCAACAACCTTGATGTTAGATAGAACATCAATGAAGTAAGAAACTGTCAAAGTATATCCACATCCTGCATTGCATAGGATTTGGAAAATTAAGAAAATTCCTCTTAAGGAACTGAAAGTGAAGCCATCTTCTTAGGAAAGAACCAGGTGTTAATAAATAGCAGTAGAGGAGGAAGCATTCTGTAACATGTTAAGGGGTTTTGTTTACATGAGATTGGAGTTGTTGGGTGGAGTTCAAAGGTCTGGTTTGTGTTGGAAGATCTCTTTATTCAGAAGAGATAGACATATGGGGACAACCTTACTGAAGAGAAGACATTATCAACCACTACTGGATTTATCAGATTTGTTGCTTTTTACAAAACTAGACTTCCAGCAGATATAGAGATATTTGAAATCCCACATTACCGCTATATCTTGCTTTTGTGACAGTTTCACGATCTGTATTAGGGAAGCATCTGCCAGACTGAGTGAGCTGTCATCTACTTCCACAGCAGCATCAATTATGGTTTTCTTTCATTTTATCCTCAACCAAATGTTCTCTACTGTGATCCACCCTCAGACCCACGGATTTCCGTTCAGTTGCATATCTCCTTTGCATGCAGGAATACTCCTTCATCACTTGTGTTTCTTCTGCCTTTTTAAGAAAACGATTAAATTAATCCTGTCTTTGGCCACTTCCCTAAAAAGTTTCCATGATGGATATGAAATGATATTAACTGAATTGTGCTAAAATGTCTTTTTTTGGTGGTATGTATTATCTGTTCTCAGTATTTTTATCTTCACAGCTAAGCCCCTTTGTATGTTTCCTGATTAGATTTCTGATGATTCCAAATGACATGCTGGAATTTGGCTCTTTTACCATTGTTTGCTTTATTTTCCTTTCTATTTCTTGCCTTTTATTTTCTATAGTATTCTACCTTGCAAAACCTTTCTTTTAAGAGAGTCAATCATTTAAATTTTTAAAGTGACTTGTACAGATTGGTTTGAATCATGACAAATGTATTTTCCCTAGTTCTCAGGAGATGTCCTCTTTTATACTTCCAATGGCACTTATTCTTGCTAAAGCTGTTTTTATTAAACTATCCTTTAACGTATCTTAGAGATGAGTTTATTTAGAGAGAACTAAAATGTCTTTGATCATAAGAATTCCAGTAGTCACCAAATGTGGTGGATTCTAGGCACCCAACAAATCTTCTTACTTTAGATACAGCCTCAGGGAACCTAATCCTGCCTTCTGCACAGAGTCAAACTGTTATAGGTTAGATTCGAGGTGGGTCAATCAGTTCAGCCCCTTCTCAGGAATACAGATAGGAATTTCATGGGAGATGAGGCAACCTGATGAACAATGCCTTGTTTATAACTACTTAGGAACTCCTTATCCCTAGAGCTGTTTTGGTAACTGCCCTTACAGAGACTTTGTTACTTCATTCTTCCTTTGCCTTTTGAATACCATATAATGTTAAAATAAATCTCCTTGGTGTGTAAGTAGGCTAAAGTCAATTGCTTCCTATTGCATGTACCGAAAATAACCTTAAAAGATACAATCAATTTGTTAGTGCTACATGGAGAACTGCTCAATGCCCAAGGATAATACATTTACATTTAAGTACTTTTTAAAAAATCTCTGCCATAAATAAAAGTTGAATCTGAACAAAAAAACTATAGGTAAATCAGTGAAAGTACATTATCACTTCTGGAAAAGGAAAAGAATGTATACAAATCATTCTAAAACTGAATTATAACATAAAAGCATACTTCAGATATGTTTTGGCTATGAGCTGGATTATAAAGAGTTATGCTTCATTTTTTAATGTGTCACAGAATTCATTTAATTACTAGTTATATCATGTGTTTATTATTCAAGAACAAAATTTTTATGTGCTACATTTCTGTGACAATTCCTTTTTTTGTGTGTAATTTACTGAGAGAAAAATAAAAGGAGATAAGATTAATCCATCTCTTATATTTACTCCAGTTCAGTCTATAAAATAAAATGAAGGTGGTGGAAGAAGGCAATTATAAGATTTAGTTTTCTCTCCAAGAAGCTCAAAGTACTTATCTGTCGTTATTCAATTGATTTTGTAGGATCCCCTTGAGAGTTGAGGAAAACAGCTATTTTATAACCAGAGAAACTAATGCAGAAACACCACATGCTCTGTTAACTATAAGAGCAGGATTAGGAATCACAACTTCTGAGTTTGTAAAATATTGTTAACCCATTAAATTGTTCTGGGTTCCATTGTTTATACAGCTTCTTCCTATTAACTGTGCTTCCAATGCAGCAATGAAGTAAATGGCTAAACATTTTATGAACCTTCTGGTTTAAGGTGAAAGCAATCAGTTAGTGTCAATTAACTTCATTAATGGATCAACCCGTGTCTTTACAACTCTTTACAAAAGCATGTGGATCACTGTTAAAATAAAACATGCATATCGATGGGACAAAAACACTGTAAAAGTTGCAGTCACTTTTTGTAGTATTCTAACAAATGTTTTATGTGTGTATTGTGTCTTTCAATGTCATCTGACTTTGATTTTCTACATTTACCATCCACTTCACCCAAACTGTTTCTTCTCCATGAGGGGAACATGACTTTTTTCTTTTACACTTATTTTCTTTACATTTATTATTATTTTTTAAGTTATGCCATTTCACCTGACATAATATCATCTCTTTCATTTAACTCTATCCAAATTCTACTATCCTACCTTCTCTGTAATATCTTTCCAGGAACTTAAATTATCCTTCTCACTTTTATATTCAAGTCCCATTTTTGTCTGTTATTAGGAATATTAGTATTATGCATTACATTACTTTTCCTTTGAACATTTATTAAGCCTTCATTGTTACTTCCTGTACTTACAGCTCTTCTTCCCAAAGAGATGAAAATCTTCCAAGAACAGAAAAAATGATTTACCTTATTCTAGGTCAGATAATAATTAGGGCAGTATTTTGCACTTATCAGGTGCTTAATAAATGAACAGTTAAAAGGCGTTGATTAATAGCATGCTTAAGTGGATTTGAGCTTTGGAAAGCAGAGGAAACTTTTTAGAATTCTTGATATGTCCCTTTAATAATACAAATTGTGGGAATTCCATATTGTTATATCTTAAATGAAGAATGTGTTGAAAAAAAACAGGAAATATTTTGTAATTTTTCTAACACTAAGATGTCATTAGCAGTTTAGATGGTATATATAGGCTAAATAGCACAAACACTAGAAACACCTTTACATTAATATTAATATTGATTGTCGTAGTTGAAAATAGGATGTCATATTTGTTGATTGGGCGTTTTAATCTATTGTCTATTTAGGCATTCATTGGTTTCTGTATGAACAGACAAAGGCTATCCCAAAACCTACCTTTAAAATCTTATTCTCTACCTATGGTTTTGACCACACTCATCTACACTTGTTATTACCTATTGTCTTCCTTATTGTAATGTTGATAGTGATCAACTTCACGATTTTAACCCTTTGTATACAAGTGCTTACTCCAGCACCTGGACCACCTCATTTCTCTGAACTTTTTTCTATATATTTCATCATCTTTCTTTACTCAAAAGCCTACACATTCAATTAAAAAAAATCTCTTGAGTTATTAGCAGCAGAGTACTGGGATACCTGCTGCCAGTGACTGATTATGTCAAAATATTTCAGAAGGCATAACATATGAATCATTTTATCAAGCTATTGTGCTCTAGGATTTTATCCTAAGGAAACTATCATAATTAGGCAATAATTTTAATATACAAAGATGTTCACTATAGCATTATTCAAAATGTCAAAAATACTGAAAATTGAAATGGGGAAATAAATATTTTGTATTCACAAATATGAATCAGCATATTAACTTAAAGAATACTGTAAAAATATATCATTTTAAAGTTTTAAGTGATAAATTACATATATTTATGGGGTAAAATATGGTGTTTCGGTATATGTATACACTATGAAATGGTCAAATCAAGTTAATTAACATATCCATCACCTCAAATATTTATCATCTTTGTGCTGAGAATATTTAAACTCCTCTCTTTTAGCTATTTTGAAGAATACAATACATAATTATTGACTGCAGTCACCATACTCTGCAATAAACCACCATAATGTATTCCTTCTATCTAACCAAAACTTTGTACCCCTTGACCAGTGACCCCTTTCCCCACATCCTCAGCCTCCAGTAACCACCATTTTATATTCTACTTTTAAGAATTTGACTTTTTTAGATTCCACATATAAGTGAGATCTTATGGTGTTTGTTTTTCTGTGCCTAGTTTATTGCACTTAGCAGAATGTTCTCTAAGTTCTTCCATGTTTTCACAAATGACAGACTTTCCAGCTTTCTTAAGACTAAATAGTATTCCATTGTACATATATATCAGTTTAAATCCATTTGTCCATTGGTGGTCACTTCAGTTGTTTCCATATCTTGGTTATTATGAATAATGCTGCTATGATCATGAGAGTGCAGATACCTCTTCAATGATACTGATTTCAATTCCTTTGACTTAAACCCAGAAGTGAGATTTCTGGATCATAATTTTATTTTCAGTTTATTAAGGAAAAAACATAAAAGCTTTCCAAAATGGATGTACTAATTTAAAATACCAACAGTGTGCAAGGGCTCACCTTCCCACAGTACTCATCAATACTTATCTGTCATCTTTTTTATAATAGCCAATTTAACAGGTATGAAGTGATATCTTATTGTGCTTTTAATTAACTTTTCTGATTAAAGATGTTGAGCACTTTTTCCTATATCTTTTGGCCCTTTGTATGTCGTCTTTTGAGAAATATCTATTCAAGTCCTTTGCCCATTTTTAATATGGTTATTTGTTTTCTTGTTATTGAGTAGTTTGAGTTTCTTAGATTTTTTTATATTAGCCCTTTGTCCAATGTATGATTTGCAAATATATTCTCCCAATATATGGCTTGTCTCTTCACTCTGAAATGTTTCTTTTGCTGTGCTTAAGCTATTTAGTTTAATGCAATCCCATTTGTTAGTATCTGCTTTTGTTGCCTGTGCATTTGGGCTCTTATCCAAGATAATCACTGTCTAACTAATGTCATGAAGCTTTTCCCTTAGGTTTTCTTCTAGTAGTTTTACATTTGCAGGTTTAAATTTTAAGTCTTTAATCTATTTTGAGTTGGTTCTTTTATACTGGGTAGGATAAAAATCAAATTTTATTCCTCAGCATGTGTATATCCAATTTTTCCTAGCACCATTTATTGAAGAGACTGTTTCTTCTGCATTATCTTTTCCACATTTTGTGTTCTGGCACCTTTGTCAAATATCCATTGGCCACAAATATGTGAGTTTATTCCTGGGCACTTTATTCTAGTCCATAGGTTGATTATGTACATTTTTATACCAGTGCCATGTTGTTTTAATTACTAAAGGTTTGCTTGTTTTGCTTAAGATGGCTTTGGCTATTCAAGGTCCTTTGTGGTGCCATACAAATTTTAGAATTTTTTTTTTCCTATTCCTGTGAAGAATGACATTGTAATTTTAATAGGGATTCAATTGAATCTGTAAATAACTTTGGGTTGTATAGACATAATAACAGTATTATTTCAATCCATGAATACAAGATATCTTTTCACTTGTGTCATCTTCAATTTTTTATCAAAGTTTCATAGTTTTTAGTACACAGATCTTTTCGTTCCTGGGTTAAATTTAATCTAAAGTAATTTGTTTCTTTTAATGCTATTATAAATAGGATTGTTACTTTAATCATTTAGATAGTTTTTTTTTAGTGTATAGAAATGCTTCTCACTTTTAGGTGTTGGTTTTGTATCCTGTAACTATTATGAATTTCATTATCAATTCTAAACTTTATAGAGTCTCTAGGTTTTTCTATATATTGGTTTATGTCATAAGCAAACAGAGATAATTTCACTTCTTCCTTTTCTATTTGAATGCCTCCTATTTCTCTTTCTTGTCTACTTACTCTGGGTAGTATTTCAAAGTACTATATTGAACAAAAGTCGTGAGAGTAGGCATCCTGGAGTTGTATCTAACTTAAGAGAAAAAGTGTCAACTTCTCATTATTTAATATGATAGCTGTGGGCTTGTAATAGCCTTTCTTGTGTTGAAGAACATTCCTTCTGTACCTAACGTGTTGAGAGTTTTTATCATGAAAAGATGTTAAATTTTCCCAAATGATTTTTGCATATCTATTAAAATGATTATATGGATTTTGTTATTTATTATGTGAACATGGTGATTTTTTCCATATATATTAAAATGATTATATGGATTTTGTCATTCTGTCAACTTGGTGAATCAAAATTATTTTTTAATTTTTCAAAATTTTGCATGTACATAGTAGGTTTATATATTTGTGGGGTACAGGAGATGTTTTGATACAGGCATGCAATGTGAAATAATCGTATCATGGAAAATAGGGTATCCATCCCATCAAACATTATTGTGTTACAAACAATCCAGTTACACTCATTTACTCATTTATTTTTAAATGTACAATTAAGTTATTGACCATAGTCACCCTGTTGTACAATCAAATACAGTGTGTGTTACTCATTCTGACTAAATTTTTTGTACCCATTAACCATTTCCATCTCCCTCCCAGCATCCCTACTACCCTTCCCAGCCTCTGGTATTGATTTCTCTACTCTCTATGTCCATGAGTTCAATTGTTTTAAATTTTAGAACCCACAAATAAGTGAGAACAGGTGATGATTGTCTTTCTGTGCCTGGCTTAGTTCACTTGACATGTTAATCTCCAGTTCCATCCATGTTGTTACAAATGACAGGATCTCATTCTTTTAGTAAGGCTACAGAATACTGCATTATGTATATGTACTGTGTTTTCTTTATCCATTCATCTGCTGATGGGCACTTAGGTTGCTTCCAAATCTTAACTGTTGTGAAACAACAGTGCTACAACAAACATGGGGTGCATATATCACATTAATACTTGATTTCTTTTCTTTTGGGTATATATCCAATGGTAGGCTTGCTGGAACTAGCATAGCTCTGTTTTTAGTTTTGAAGCTCTGAACTCTTCTCCATAGTGTTTGTACTAATTTACATTCCCACCAATAGGGTAGGAGGGTTCCTTCTCTTCTCCACATCTTTGCCAGCATTTGTTATTGCTTGTCTTTTGGTCATAGGCCATTTTAACTGGAATGAGATGATATTTCATTGTAGTTTTGATATGCATTTCCCTGATGATCAATGATGCTGAGCACCTTTTCATATGCCTGTTTGCCCCTTGTTGTCTTCTTTTGAGAAATGTCTGTTCAAATTTTTTGCTCATTTTTTGATCAGATATTAACATTTTTTCCTATAGAATTGTTTAAGCTCCCATGCAGTGAGCCGAGATTGCACCACTGAACTCCAGCCTGGGAGACAGCGAGACTCCATCTCAAAAAAAAAAAAAAAAGTAGAATTGTTTAAGATCCTTATATATTCTGGTAATTAATCCCTTGTTAGACGGATAGTTTGCAAATATTATCTCCCATTCTGTGAATTCCATTTTGATTTGATTTTTGAAAATGGTGAGAGATAGGGGTCTAGTGTCATTCTTCTGCATATGGGTATCCAGTTTTCTCAGCACCATTTATTGAACAGACTTTCTTTTCACCAGTGTATGTTTTTGGTACCTTTGTCACAAATCAGTTCACTGTAAGTATGTGGATTTGTTTCTGGGTTCTCTATTCTGTTCCCATTGGTCTGTGTGTCTGTGTTTATACCAGTACTATGTTGTTTGGGTTACTATAGCTCTGTACTATAATTTGAAGCCAGGTAATGTGATTCCTCCAGTTTTGTTCTTTTTGCTTAGTATAGCTTTGGGTATTCTGGGTCTTTTGAAGGTCCATACAAATTTTAGGATTTTTTTTCTATTTCTGTGAAGAATCTCATTGGTATTTTGACAAGGATTGAATTAAATCTGCAGATTACTTTGGGTAGTATGGACATTTTAACAATACTGATTCTTTCTATACATGTTCATAAACATGGGTTATTTTTCCATTTCTTGTGTCCTCTCAATTTCTTTCATCAGTTTTTTATAGTTTTTATTGTAGAAAGCATTCACTTATTTGGTTCATTCTTAAGAATTTTATTTGTGGCTATTTTAAGTAGAATAACTTTTTAATTTTTGTTTTTCACATTGCTTACTATTGGTGTATAAAAATGTTACTCATTTGGGTACGTTAATTTGGAATCCTTCAATTTTCTGAATTGGTTTATCAATTGCAATAGTTTTCTTGTGGAGTCCTTAGGTTTCTCCAAATGTAAGATAATATTCTTTGTAAACAAGAATAATTTTCTTTCTTTCTTTTCAATTTGGATGCCTTTTGTTTGACTTCCAGGATGAAAGTAACCATCCTTGTCATGCTCTGGAACTTAGGGGAAAGGCTTTCTTTTTTCCCCATTCAGTATGATACAAGCTGTAGGTCTCTCATATATGGCTTTTATTACATTGAGGTATGTAGCTTCTATACCCAGTTTTTAAGGGATTTTATGATGAAGCAATGTTAAATTTTATCAAATATTTTTCCAGCATCAGTTGAAGTGATCATATGGTTTTGTTCTTTTATTCTGTTTATATGATGTATCACATTTATTTACATATGTTGAGTCATCCTTGCATCCCAGAGATAAATTCCACTTGGTCATGATGAATGATCTTTCTGATGTATTGCTGAATTCAGTTGGAAAGTATTTTGTTCTGGATTTTTGCATCAATATTCATCAGGGATATTGACTTGTAGTTTTCATTTTTTCGATGTATCTTTGTTTGGTTTTTATGTCAGATTAATACTGGCTTTAAAGAATGATTTTGGAAGTATTCTCTTCTCTTCTATTTTTCAGAATAGTTTGGGTAGGATTGGTATTAGTTATTCTTCAAATGTTTGGTTGAATTCAGCAGTGAAGCCACTGGGTCCTGAGCTTTTCTTTACTGGTAGACTTTTTATTATGGCTTTGGTCTTGTTACTTGTGATTGGTGTATTTAGTTTTTGGATTTCATCCTGGTTCAATCTTGGTATATTGAATGTGTCTAGGAATGTGTCCATTTCATCCCAATTTTTGGAATATAGCTGCTCTTGTTTAGCCACTGATGATTTTTGAATTTCTGCAGTATTAGTAGTAATGTCTCCTTTTTCATTTCTGATTTTATTTATTTGTATCTTCTTTCTTTTTCTTAGTCTGGCTAAAGGCTTTCCAATTTTATTTAACTTTTCAAAAAACCAACTTTTTGTTTCATTGATCTTTTCCATGGTTTTCTTCATTTCAAATTTACTTTTTTCCCCTTTGATCTTTATTACTTTTTTCTTCTACTAATCTAGGGTTTCATTTGTTGTTGCTTTTCTAGTTCTTGAAGATACATCATTAGATTGTTTATTTGAGGGTTTTTTTTTTTTATGTAGGTACTTAATAGCTATCAGCTGCCCTCTTAGTTCTGCTTTTGCTGTGTCCTATAGGTTTAGGTATGTTGTGTTTCTATTATCATTTGTTTTAAGAAGTTTTTAAATTTTCATCTTAATTTCTTCATTGACCGACTGTACAATCAGGGGCATGTTGTTTAATTTCCATGTATTTTTATAGTTTCCAAAATTCCTCTTGTTAATTTCTGTTTTATTCCATTTTGTTAAGAGAAGATGGCCGATATTATTTCAAGTTTTTTGAATGTTTTAAGACTTGTTTCGTGACCTAACATATGGCCTATTCTTGAGAATATTCCATGTACTGAGGAGAATGTGTATTCTGCAGCTGTTGCATGAAATGCTCTGTAAATAACTTTTAGATCAATTTTGGTCTACAGTGCAGATAAAGTCTGATGTTTCTTTGACGATTTTCCATCTGGAAATGTGTGCAGTGCTGAAAGTGAGGTGTTGAAGTCTTCAGCTATTATTGTATTGGGGTCTATCTTTCTTTTAAGCTCTAATATTTTCTTTATATATCAGGGCTTTCCACTGTTGGGAGCATATATATTTAAAATTATTATATCCTCTTGCTGAATTGACCATTTTATTATGTAATCAACTGACTTGTCTCTTCTTATAATTTTTGTCTGGAAATCTGCTTTGTCTGATATAAGTGTAGCTATTCCTGATCTCTTTTTTTGTTTCCATTAGCATGGAATATCTTTTTAAATTATTTTTTTTAATCTTCAGTCTATGTGTGTCTTTATAGGTGAAGTGTGTTTCTTGAGGGCAACAAATCAATAGATCTTGTGCTTTTATTTATCCAACCAGTCTATGTCTTTTGATTGGAGAATTTGATCCATGTACATCAATATTATTGATAAGTAAGAACTTACTCTTACCATTTCATTGTTTTTTCTTGTTGTTTTGTGGTGTTCACTTCTTTTTCTCACTGTCTTCCTGTAGTGAAGATGCTTTTCTATGGTGATATGATTTGTTTTCTTTTTCTTTTTTTGTGTATTCATTGTATGTTTTTGGGTTGAGGTTACCATGAGGTTTGCAAATACTATCTTATATAAGCCACTATTTTAATCTGATAAAAACCTACCACTGTTTGCACAAACAAGCAAAAGCAGAAAGAAAACTAACTAAAGTTCTATGCCTTAATTTGTCACTCTGCTATTTAACTTTTTTGGTTTATATTTTTATCTTATTGTACTATGTATGTCTTGAAAAGTTGTATTATTTTTGATTCATTGTTTTTTTTTTCTACTTAGGATAAGAGTAGTTTACATACCACAGTTACAGTGTTAAAATATTCTGTGTCTTTCTTTTTACTTACTATTACCAGTGAGCTTTGTACCTTTAGGTGATTACTTATCGCTCACTAACATTCTGCTCTTTCTGATTGAAGCACTCTCTTTAGCATTCCTTATAGGATAGGTCTGGTGTTGATGAAATTCCACAGCTTTTCTTTTTCTGGAAAAATCTTTATTTTTCCTTCATGTTTGAAGGATATTTTTGCCAGATATATTATTCTAGGGTAAAAGTTGTTTTGTTTTTATTTCCTTAAACACTTCAAATATGTCGTGCCACTGTCTCCTAGCCTGTAAGATCGCCACTAAAAAGTCTGTCATCAGATGTATTACAGCTCCATTGTGTATTATGTGTTTCTTTTTTTTCTTTTTTTTTTTTTTTTTTTGCTTCTTTTAGTATCCTTTTTAAATACTTGATCTTTGGGAGTTTGATTATTAAATGCCACAAAGTCTCTTATGCTGTCTCACTGTTTTTTTTTAATTCATTTTTTCTTTTTGCTTCAAGATTGAATGATTTCCAGTGGCTTAGCTTTGAGTGTACTGATTTCTTCTGTTTAGTTTGTTGTTAAAACTCTCTATTCAGTATCTCAGTTTATTTATAGAATTCTTCAAGTCTATGATTTCTGTTTGGTACATTTTTATAATTCCTATCTCTTTATTTAAATTGTAGGTTTGTTGCTACATTGCTCTCCTTACCTCTATAAGCCCCTTTATTACCATTATTTTGAATTCTTTCTTGGATATATCACATATCTCCACTTCATTCAGCTCAGTTGCTGGAGAATTAGCCTTTTTTTGTAGGTAAATTTTTATTTGATATATTAATCCTTGTTTCTTCATTTTCTTTTATTTGCCTTCTCTTTATTTTCCAACTCTTCATGTTGGTTTCTGTGCATTATATAACACAATGCCTCTCCCAGGCTTGTCAGACTGCCCTGGTATAGAAGAAAGATTTCATGAATCTTTTCTGGTCATTGTTTTAAGGTGCCTCTCAAATGTTTGTGTTTATACAAACCGCTATCTCTGTTTTTGGTGATTCCCTAGAGATTACAATGTGCCATGTCCTGTGAGTATTTCTAAGATCAATAAGGCAGAAGCCAGACCCTTTAGATGTAACTGGAAAGGTTGGGGTGTTGAACATTCCATTTCCTTCTATCCTCCTCATAAAACTAATATGGGTGTTTATGTCCCAATCTCTCTATGCTAATCTACTAAACTAATTTAAAGAGATGATCTGTGACTAATGTCTGTGCTTGAGTTAAGGCTTCACCCTCTGATTCTGGGGAGATAGCTGCTGGAAGCAGGCCCACTGTATGCCCATCTTTTTGGTTTTCTGGGGTTTAGGGCTACTCAGGAATGGAAAGCACCATTAACTCCCAGATTTACACTATTGAGGAGACAGACTTTGGGGTGGGATCTTTAAAAGTTGTGGCAGTGGGTGCATAAACAAACTTTTTCCAGGAAGAATGGGTAGACCTGGATTTATCACTGGGGCAAGCTGGAAGAAAAGTTTAGGAAGTGCTGAGCTCTGGCTCAAGCTGCCATGTGGCTACTGTTTGTATGTCCCACTTAGCTCCCCAATGAAAGTTTGTTAGAAGCCAGTCCATCAAGTAGGTACTGTATTCCATTGTCTTTTCTGCATTGCTCCCAGAGGGTGTGGCATCTGAAAGCACTTGCACACCCATTTAAAACCAACTTTATGTCTTGTGACATAAGGAGACTTACATTTGCCTAATATTTCCTGTTTCCAGAGTCCTTCAGGTGTTGCAGGAAGTCAGGGACCCCAAACGGGTCTCTTAATACTGTTATCTTCATAAGCTGAGGATGTACATCACCTCAGGACCCTGTGATGATTGCGTTAACTGTACAAATTGATTGTAAAACATGTGTTTGAACAACATGAAATCAGTGCACCTTGAAAAAGAACAGAATAACAGCAATTTTCAGGGAACAAGGGAAGACAACCATAAGGTCTGACTGCCTGCGGGGTCGGGCAGAATAGAGCCATATTTTTCTTCTTGCAGAGAGCCTATAAACAGACGTACAAGTAGGAGAGATATCATGAAATTCTTTTCCTAGCAAGGAATATAATATTAAGACCCTAGGAAAAGAATTGTATTCCTGGGGGGAGGTCTATAAGTGGCCGCTGTGTGAGTGCCTGTTCTATGTGATTGAGATAAGGACTGAGATACGCCCTGGTCTCCTGTAGTACCCTCAGGCTTACTAGGATTGGGAAGCCCCAGCCCTGGTAAATTTGAGGTCAGACTGGTTCTCTGCTCTCGAACCCTGTTTTCTGTTAAGATGTTTATCAAGACAATACGTGCACCACTGAACATAGACCCTTATCAGGAGTTTCTGATTTTTGCCCTGGTCCTGTTTCCTCAGAAGCATGTGATCTTTGCTCTGCCTTTTGCCCTTTGAAGCATGTGATCTTTGTGACCTACTCCCTGTTCATACACCCCCTCCCCTTTTGAAGTCCTTAATAAAAACCTGCTGGTTTTGTGGCTCAGGTGGGCATCACAGACATACCGATACATGATGTCACCCCCGGTGGCCCAGCTATAAAATTCCTCTCTTTATACTCTTTCTCTTTATTTCTGAGACTGGCCGACACTTAGGGAAAATGGAAAGAACATACATTGAAATATTGGGGGTGGGTTCCCCTGATACTCAGGTAGTAATTGTAAAAGCTGGACTGTTCAATATATGGATAAACCCCTTCTGGAGAGAAGTAAGAAACTTCATTTTTAGAGTTCCCTCTCTGCATTGTTCCTTGAGGATGAAGCCTCTGAAAGTGCTTATACATCTATATAAACGGTTGCTCTTTGCTGTGGTCTAGAGAAATTTGTGTATACCTAGTTCCCTCTGCTCCCAGAGGTATGAGATTTAAGATGCAGTTTATGGGGTGGAAGATATAAAAGTTGAAGTGCTCAATATATGGACAAACTCCTTCCAGAAAAGATTAATAAACCTGGAGCTATTGTTGGGGCAAGCCAAGGAGAAGGCTCAGGATGGGGCAATCTGCTTCTCAGTTGGCTACTATTTGCCCCTTCAACTCTCCTATGTAAGTCAGTTAGAAGCCAGGCTGCCAGGCAGAGACTGGAAGAGTGCACTTCTCCCAGAGAATGAGGCTCCTGGAAGTACTTCCACTCACATAGAAAACTGCTGTTTTTTCCTGTGGGCTATAGAGACTTACATATGCCTAATCGTCTCCATTCCCAGGGTTGCTGAATTAAGGGCCAAACTGTGGGGAACCTTAGAGTTAGGGCACTGTATGTAAGGTTCAAATCTTTCTCTCCACATGGAGAAGCTGGGGTGTTGGGCTCCTCTTTCCTGGTTGTATAGCTCTTTGTCTGGAGCAAGGTCTGTGTCTGAGGGTGACAGATTTTTCTACCCATCTGGTGTAGATTTTTTTAGTTGTCCTGTGAGTAGGAGTCTCCCAACTGGTTTTTTACTTTTTCTCAGAGAGAGATGATTTATGAATAGAAGGCTATTTGATGAATTCATGGATAGAGAGACAGGGGCCTCCTATTCTATCATGTCACTGAGTTCAACCCCTTTAAAAGGATAACTTATGACAGTCATAAATGAGAAGCACATATTGCTGTATGGCATAAAATATTCAGAAATAAATATAACTACTCTTGCACTCTTTTGGTTTCCATTTACATGGGTACTTTTTTTATTTCTTCACTTTATGAGTGTCTTTTCAGGCAAAGTAAGTCTAATAGGCAGCATAATTCTTTTTTTAAAAATCTATTCTTTTGCTCTATGTAGTTACAGATATGCAAAGACTTACTAGTACCATTTTGTTGTTTTCTGATTGTTTTGTAGATTATTACTTGCTTCCTTTCTCTCTGGGTTAGTATTCATCATCAAGCATATTTATAGTCACCTGCAATGTGTCATACAAAATTCAAGGCACTGTTTATATAGCCATAAATAAATAAAAGCTCCCTGCTTTTGTGAAGCTTATATTCTCATCGTCAATATAGATAATAAAAGATAAGCATCTAAAGTATTAGGTAGTAATGAACAAAATGAAGGGGAGCCTGACTCAAATAGGTGCTATTTTTAAGGATGACCAAAGAAGATAGAATTAGTCATGTGAGTATGTGGAAAAGAGCACTTCAGAGGAAGCAAATATTCAAGCCTTGATATTGGAATGTGCTTGGCATTGAATGTAATTGGCATACAAAATGAACAAATGAATGAAAGAATGAATTATTCAGTTATTTTAGCTGTGATTCTAGGGTTGCATAAGTTTTATTGATCAGCTCCATAGAGGGATGTCCTATTAGCTAGCTCCAGGCTTATAATAATTGAGTACCTATCATTTGCTAGGCACTTTTTCCAACTTATTTGAAATTCTCATCACAAATCTAAGATTTTGTTATTATGCTTTTCCCTTTTCCTGATAAGGGAACTGAAACTGAGATGCTAATATATTTCTCCATAACTGCATAATCCAGGATTCAAACACAGCCATATATTGTTCTATATCCAAAACTCTTTCTACCATGTCTTATTGCCTTTTATGACCAGTGAAGATAAAAGAATGTACATTTCCATTAGACAAAAAAGTAAGAGGTGTCCCAGTTATGTACTCCTAATAAAAAGTAGAATTTTATATGTGAACTTTCTTCACATATTAAAAAATATAAATTAAATTTTAACATAATTAACTAATCCTTGCTAAGCTTGACAAAGGAATATAATGTCAAATATGATTTTAATGCAGATACCTATGATTTATCTACTAGGAATTTTCAACAGTAACTGTTACCATTTACATTTACCTTTAATGTTCTTATTAAGACTATTAAGCATTCTCTATTTTTAGGGATGTACCACTCTTCAGTATTAATTATAGTTTAAGATAATATTTCAGAAGTTTACATTTAATACTAAAATTTACCTAATACCTATTTCCAATCAATAGATGACTATTACCTTTAAATTCCAATCACTCTATCTGGAACCTACTTAGTTCTCTCCTGATGATCTCGAGGGAACTGAATGAAGTACTTTTCCTTGCTGGTAAAAAGTTATCTTTTTTTCCTGAGCATTACTACATTTCTCTCATAGTTACTCATTTTTGCTGTTTATGTTAAGAAATCTCAGACACCTAAGACTCATCTAACTCTTACCTAATGGACTCACTTTGTCAGTCAAATCATACTCTGAAAAAGAGTCATTTATATTATTCCTCATGTCCTCCTCAACTTCCCCCTCCCTCTTCATTAACTGAAATATTTGCATTGAAATAATTTATTTTATTCAACAGAGTTTGACAACATTGCAACTTTGCAATTAAGACCCAGGACTTTGATATCAGACCTGGGTTGAAATACCAGCTTCTGCTCTCATAAGACTTGTATATAAGACTTCAACTTATCTGTTTAAGCCTTTGATTCTCAACTGCAAAGTAGAAATTATATTTCATGCCACATAAAATTGGGTAGAGATGAATTTTTTTAAGTAAATTGCTTAAGAAATTTCTGTTCTGTTCTAAATGTGAACAAATATGCATAAATTTTTTTCTTTTAAATACAGTATTTTGACATATAAAATATTATGCAAAATATTGATTAAATTGTGTTGACACTGTGATTTTAATCAGAAAGCTCCTGGTGTAGTCAGGAGAGTTTAGATTTAAAATCAAACAGTTTTAGGTTTTATCCTATCTAGCTGTGTGCCCTCCAGGAAAGTGTTAAATCTCTGTGAACCTTTGTCTTTTCCTCATTTCTAAAATGCCCTGATTATTTATGGTGATGAATTTATATAGTATATTTAAATCAAGAAACATACAGAGGTCTCTCTCTCTCTCTCTTTCTCTCTCTCTCTCACACACACACACACACACACACACACCACATACACACAAATTTACAAAATGGAAGGAGTTAATCAAGAAAATATAAGAAATTACCAAATTATGAAATTAGAGAAAGTAAGAAAGGAAGGACAAAAGGTTGACTTTTCCATGCAAAATAGACAAAAGCACAACATCCAAACCAAGATATACTGCTACAGATACCATCAGAATAAATTTAAAAGTCATAAAAGACCACTTTGCTCAACTATAATTTATGAGACCTGTATGAAATGGATAGACAAACTGATTATATGCAGTATTTTCCAGGCTGAGGGGAAACATATATTTATTCATTACTGATGGGAGTATAAAGTAGTATAACCTTTATGGACAGCAATTTGGCAATCTACTAAATTTTATAATTCACATACACTTTGACTCAACAAATCCACGTCTTGAGATTTATCCTACAAAACTCTTACATGTGTGACATGATGTACATATATGTAGAGAAAGCAATTTAAATAGGGATTTTCTATATAATGTTGGGGTCCTACAAAGAAATACTAGGCTGGTGCTAAAAGAAGAATGAAGTAATTCCATATATGTTGATATAGAGTACAATATATGTTGCTTAGTGAAAAGATCAAATTACAGGGCAAGAACATAGTATGCCTCCAAAAAAATAGTAAAATTTCGTATGTCTGTATACACAAACACACACTGAGACTTTTTCTGGAAAGTTATTTAATAAATTGACAACAGTGTTTGCCTTTAAGTAAAATTACTAAGTACCTCGAAAACAGGTTAAGTTGGGATAATTTCTTTCCACTGCATTATTTTGAATTTTGTATATTTTTTTGTTTTACAGATTTCAAAACTATAATACATTTTTAAAATTATACAGTAGTTATTTTGGTTCAGAGACTTAAACACTGCATTTTCTTTCTCAGATTTTCACTCAGTACATTAGCATATCAGGAGGTCTAGGATTCAACTAAAGATAATAACTTATGTTGTACCTTATACAGAACGTTATACTAGACCCTGGATTTATAAGCAGGAGCAACAGTGACTCAGCCACCACTCTCAGAAAGCTTGTTCTTCAGCTGGGAAAGCAAATAATAATCATATAAATAGTTTTATTTTTGAAACAGGGTCTTACTTTTTTGCCTAAATAAATATTTTAAACTTAGTTTTATATAGCATATTTTTAAAATTATTTGATTAACTATTTTTAATGTGTATCACGTTTAACAACCCTTGAAACACACTTTAAGAAATACTATGCTATAGTACTTTCTTCTTCCCTACCAGTGAGATCTTTCACAAAGAAAAGATTGACCAAACTAGAAAGAGAAACAAAAGAAGGAAGAGAAGGAGGAATATAGGTTTAATATATCCTTAACCAAAAAAAAAAAGAAAGATAGAAACTTATTAAACTTGTGGTAACATATTCAACCTAAGACACAATTCATCATTGATACCCTATAGAATTAAGTTTAAATAATGTTATGCAAAACATTTCTCTAGCACTGAGTAAATGGCTAATAAATATGAGCTATTATTGAAATAACTGTTCAAGTATCCTCATAAAATGTATAGATAAATCTGAATAAATAATATGAATAATGGTATTTGAGTCCAAGACCATATGTATCCAAGAAAGTGTTACACAGACATAGAGATCAAAGATAAAAGGCAAAAGGCATGTAATTAATGCTGTGGTTATATTAACCAAACCCTTTTCATAATTCCTTTTCTTAGGCCAACCTCTAGTAAAATTTGTCTAGAAGTGGCCACATGGCCCAGTTCCAGCCAGTACAGTGGGAATCTCTGGGTAAAGCTTCCAGGAAGGAAACCTTTGTGTTGTTGTTGTTTTTGTTCATTTGTTTGTTTGTTTGTTTTTTGAGATGGAGTCTTGCCCTGTTGCCCAGGCTGGAGTGCGGTGGCGCAATCTTGGCTCACTGGAACCTCTGCCTCCCAGGTTCAAACGATTCTCCTGCCCCAGCCTCCTGAGTAGCTGGAATTACAGGAATGTGCCACCATGCCTGGCTAATTTTTTTTTTTGAGACACAGTTGCACTCTTGTTGCCCAGGCTGGAGCGCAATGGTGCGATCTCAGTTCACTGCAACCTGCACCTCCTGGGTTCCAGTGATTCTCCTGCCTCAGCCTCCCAAGTGGCTGGGATTACAGGCACCCGTCACCACACCTGGCTAATTTTTGTATTTTTAGTAGAGATGGGGTTTCGCCATGTTGGCCAGGCTGGTCTCGAATTCCTGATCTCAAGCTGCCCACCTCAGACTCCCAAAGTGCTGGGACTACAGGCATGAGCCACCATGCCTGGCCTGTATTTTTAGTAGAGATAGGATTTTGCCATGTTGGCCAGGCTGGTCTCAAACTCCTAACCTGAAATTATTCGCCCACCTTGGCCTCCCAAAGTGCTGGGAACCACCACCATGCCTGGCCGGGAAGCCTTCTTAGAAGAAAGAGGCTTGTTAGGCCTTCCTCTTTTGCCCCCTTTGCCTTTTTTTTATTTTTTCTTGCTAGGAGCATATAAATAAGTACAGCAATCATCTTGCAACTTGGGCTGGGCGTGGAAAGACATATGCTAGAAATGGCACTCCAAATATTAAAAAGTCTCTGGTTTCTGATAGCCTCATGAAGCTCGTACACTAGCTCTGGTCTGTTACTGACAGATTTCTTATTAAGTGAGAAAAATAAATCTATACATGTTAGTTGGCTTTCTGTTATTTGCAATGAAATGCATTCCTGACAAAAAGAGAAATGGAACTCTGAGAAACATTTTTACAAAACTGCATGTTACAGGAAAAGCAAGGCTAATATAAATATAAGTAAGCATAGTCATGAGATATCATAGTTCAAAATCTATATTAAAAATAGTCCAGAGATAATGCTCTTTGCATATAATATGCATTCCTTTGCTAATGGGTAAAAAGGGTTTCATTTAATTTTCCATAACAGAATAGTGGTCAGGGAACATTGAAGTGGTCCTTGAACAGTGAGGGACAATAGATCATAAACTCCTACTTTTTAATAGATGAATTATCCACATTTAACCCAAAGAGATAACCTAAGTATTTGAAAATTAAATCAAAAGCACTGTGACTTTCAACTATTTTGTTTTGTCTTTTAATCAAGCCTGTAGACAGGTTTCTTAGGCATATGGTTACATCCTACGTGCTGAAAGAATGCAAAGTCATTACTCAAAGAGTGCCATTTTGTTCCCTGAGACTATAGGTTCCTGCAGCATAGGGCCATTGGGATTTACTGATTTAGAAAACAAACATTATTGAATATTACATAGAGTACTTTGTTGAGAGCTGGGAAAGAGAATACAGGGATGACTAATTTATGGTAACCGTATACAAAGGAAGTTTCAGGGCTGGGCACAGTGGCTCATGCCTGTAATCCCAGCACTTTGGGAGGCCGAGGAGGGTGTATCACTTCAGCCCAGGAGTTTGAGACTGGTCTGAGCAACATGATAAAACCTTGGCTCTACAAAAATAATCCAGAAAACTAGCCAGGTGTGGTGACGTGTGCCTATAGTCCCAGCTACCTGGGAGGCCGCAGTGGGAGAATCACCTGCGCCAAGGAAGTTGAGGCTGCAGTGAACACTGACTGTGCCACTGAACTCCAGCCTAGGCAAAAGAGTAAGACCCCAACTCAATAAATTAATGTAAGTAAGTTTCAGTCCAGTAGGAGAGCCAGACACTCACAGAAATTATACAAAAATGTGATCTAAAGAAGGTAAGAGTACCAAAATCAAGACACAATAGTCCAAGCACCATTTATGAATTGTTCACTTGCTTTGGGAGTGATGGTAGAGGGCTGTCAAATATCTGGCCAAGATCAATTGTGCTGCTGCTCAATCCCAGAATCACTGACATCAAGGAAGGATGTGTCTTCCTTCTCATACCCCACCACCTCTACGCGCTCTAAGGAGACTATTTTGTGAGTGGGAGGCAGGGGTTGGACTTCAAGGCCTTAAAAGTGTCTTCTACTTCTATCTTCTTGTTTGAGAGTTCTGTAAACTCAACAGGGCCAGCTGTTGATTCCACATACAGGTGAATGTCCTAAAGGAATAATTTTCTCTCTCCTTTCCCCCACCTAGAGAAGAGTTTGTCAAACACGTGAGTACTTCCATGTTGTCTCTGCATTATCTCCCTTCCAGTCTTGTCTTCTGTATTAATATTTACCTTATTCTTAGTTTATTTTTTGTTATTCAAATCTAGTGGTTGAAATAAAAACTATCCCTCCTGCAGCTGTCTGTATGCTTCTATGGCTGCCCTTTCATTCTCCACATATTTGAATTTTTTGACATAAAATATACTTTATTTGTAGCCCTTTTAGACCTTTAGTTTCCCATCTGCAAGGGCTGATATTCCCACCACCATCTTTGAAGTTTATGCCTTGCCACTTTACCTCCTTTTACCATTTCGTAACAATTGTATTCCTCAGTGGGGCATAGCAGTGGGCTCCCATTTCTCCCCTCTACTGGTATAGCAGTCTGGGAGCTTTGATGGAAAAGGAGAGGGTGCTTCAGGGTTTCAGTGCATGATCACCCGACACCTTACAAATTATTTGATCTCTTTTCCTCCCACGCTCTGACATTTACTTAGTGATTCACTCTCCAGACAGTGTCAAATCCCAGATCCACCACACATCAAAGGATTTAACCTCCAACATGCCACTTTCTCATTATGATTGTTAATCCCTATATATTTTATGCTGGACTGCAACTAAATGTGTTCTTCAGTCTCATTAATCTCTACATTTTCTTGAATAACTTTTCTCAGAGCTTATTAATCCTTTTCACTTCATTGGTATTCCAATACAGCAGTGTTACACACCCAGTTAAAAATACATTATTAAAAGTACTTTCTAACTCTCTAGTCAGCACTCTCAACATCTTTGGCAACTTATCTTCCTTCTAATCTTAAATTGCTATAAATTTCTGAATTTTCTAATTTCTACACATGCTCAGAGCTGCTGGAAAAAAAGTATATGAAGTCTAGTACCAAAGTATCTTAGATGTCAACCACCCTCTTTCCACCCCACTACACGAACACTTAGCAGCAGACTGAATCTCTGCCTAGCTATTTGTCTTATTCTCCACAGCTATTTCTAAGAAAATAATATTTCTCAATATTCTTAGCCTGTTTGTCTTATTCTGGTTGGGCTGTTGTAAAGCAGTGTCATAGATTGGGTAGCTTATAAACAACAGATTTTTTTTTTATATTACCGGAGGCTTGGAAATTCAAGATCAAGGTGCAAGCAGATTTGGTATCTGGTGAGGGCCCTTTCATAGATGGTATCTTCTCACTGTATCCTTACATGGTGGAAGCAGCAAGAAAGTTTTCTGGGGCCTCTTTTACAAGGGCACTAATCCCATTCATGAGGGATCTGCCCTCATGACCTAATCACTTCCCAAAGCCACACCTCCTAATACCATCACATTGGTGATTAGGTTTCAACATATGAATTGTGAGGGCAAACATCAGACTGTAACACTGCACTAGCCCCAATGTCTTTTTTTCTCTATTAATAGAAAAGCTTGCCTTTTGCTCTCAGAAAAAAAGTTTAAGTAATCAGTATCTGCCTCTTTTATTTAACCAACTACAATTTGTTATCTCTATGCACCATATTTTATCACCATCTTTCTCAGGGAAAAAAGTCCCTCTGCTTATCTAACACTAATTGTGGTATCTGAGTCAGAGCTTCTCAAACTTTAATGTGTTTATAAAGTACCTGAGGATCTTGTTCAATGCAGATTCTGATTCAGTAGGTATGGAGTAAAACCTGAGATTCTAAAAAATTCCCAGCAGTGTACGTGCTCCTGGGCCACCAACGATACCAACACAGTAATAATTACTTTTCCTAGAGGAAGTGGCTCATGAAGGCAAAAGTGACTGGGACCTAGGAAAGTGATTGTGTAGCCCTAATCCTAGTCTCCCAATCCATAACAACTGGGAAATTCTCTCATGATTCTTCGTTGCCTAATGATTGCTCTAAAATAAAATGCTGATGCTATTTTTTTCTGTTTAAAATCCTCCAGGACTTTGACTATCATACAGACAAAAAGGTTAAACACTACCTCTTTCATGACCAATGCATTACAGATCTTGCTAGTTTCCCTTCCCTTTATATATCTAGTGATCTTTCTAGGCTAAATTACTGTCAATTTTCTCGTGCTTGATATTCCGTGTTATATCTACAGGGACTTTTCTGATTGGGAAAACCACTTCTCCCCAGTTAGCATAATTTTTTATTCGCCCACCTTAAAAACTTTCCCCATCTCCATCATGCAAATATAGTAAGTATATATAACTACTTATATAGGAATCTTCTCATAGTAACTACACAATTCAGACGTATAACTCACCATATGATTTTGTGTCTACTTATATTTTTGTGTATCTCAGTTTAGACTGTGGGCTCCTAGAGAGTGGGAACTTTGTCTTCAATTCATATGTCTCCATTGCCTGGCAAAAATAGGTATTTAACTAATGTTTGTTGGATCTTCGAATACATGAATTAGTGACTTGAGTATACACTTTAGATACACATTTTATTAAAATGCAAATAATAGCAACCATACTTAAAAGTGACATAATAATTTTAGCCCACATTCCCTATTCATTTCTGATTCTGGTTATAATCCGTCACTCTACTTCTGAATGATCAAAAGAGCACATAAAGGAATATTAATTTGACATAAAAAGAGATATGTTAATTATGAAATATATTTTGGTCAATGCCAATGTATACAATACATGATGTTAAATATGCAATATTAACCCCAAATTAATAGAAAATATTTGCTTATTTAAGAAATTACCTTGTTAAAATATCTCAAGGATTTTTTTTAGCTCTGCCCTACATTGGAAACCTAAATAATTTTTGAAAGTGCCCACAGGCTCAGAGATTCAATAAAGTTAAAAATTCTCCATATAAATAATCTTAAAACTAAAATAGTGTTTTTAAATGAAGCTAAATGAATAATAGAGAAAACATCATAACATTTTCTTTACCACTTTTCTTCTGTGATCACCGATAAGTCATAAAATTAGTTAGGTAAGGTATTGGCATGAAAAATGAAATTATCAAAACATACCACAAATATGTTTCAATTAAATATATTTAGTTCATCACTTTTATCTACTATAATTTTGGATTACAGTCATTCATTCATTATTTCAAGAAATATTTACTCAGTGCCTACTATATGCCTGGCACTGTATTGTGTGTGGGAACACTGCAGAGTGAAACAAGAAATTTGCAATTTAGCAGAACATGTAGACAAAAATAAGTGAGTGTTACGAACTGAATGTGTTCCCTCAAAATTCATATGTATAAGTTCCAACGTTCAATGTGACTATATTTTGAGACAAGGCTGTTAATAGAGGTACTTAAAGTTTAGTAATTTAGAAGGATGGGGCCCTGATCCAATAGGATTAGTGTCCTTATAAGCCCAGACACCGTAGACCTCCTGTGCTCTCTCTCCATCATGAGAGGACGCATCAAGAAAGCAGCTGTCTGCAAGCCAGTAAGAGAACCCTAACCAGAAATCAACCCTGCCAGACCTTGATCTAAGAATTCTAGCCTCCAGAAATGTGAGAAAAAGGTATTTCTGTTGTTTAAGCAAACCTGTCCATAATATTATGTTAGCTCGAGAACATTAATGCAGTGACTATGAAGGATATGAAAGAGGTATGCATGACACCACTTTCAACAAGAATGCTGAGACAATTTAATGGGAAAAAAATCATTTTCAACAAATGGTGCTAGGACAACTGGATATATTCATGCAACAGAATAAAGGTACCGTATGCATTCCTTCATACCATATGCAAAAATTAACTCAAAATGGGTCAAATATCTAAGCATGGGTCATAAACTATAAAACTCTCAGGAGAAAACATAGCTGTATAATGTTTATGATCTAGAATCGGCAATGGTTTCTTAGATGGGGCACCAAAAGCAACACCAACAAAAGAATAAATAGATAAATTGAGCATCATCAAAATTGGAAATGTTGTACTTCAAAGAAAATTATCAGGAAAATGAAGGGACAACCTGCAGAATTGGAGAAAGTATTTGTAAATCATGTAATATGGGCCTATTATCCAGAATATGTTAAAAACTCTTACCACTGACCAATATAAAGACAAGCAATTCAATTAAAAATGTATAAAGTATTTGAATACATGTTTCTTCAAAGAAAATGTGCAAATGCAAATAAGCACACTAAAATATATCAATATAATTCATAATTTGGGAAATGCAAATTAAAACTAAAATGAGATACCACTTCATACCCACTAGGATGGCTATTATCAAAAACAGGGATGATCACAAGTATTGGTAAGGATGCAGAGAAATTAAAACCCTAATATGTTGCTGGTAGATGGTAAAAGAATTCAGTAGTTTTGAAAAACAATGAAAGTTTATCAAGAAGTTAAATATAGAGTCAGTACACACTCCAGCAATTATAGTTCTAGGTATATACATAAGAAAGTTGAAAATATGTGTCTACACAAAACCTTGTACATGAATGTTCATTGTAGAATTATTACTAATAGCCAAAAAGTGAAAACAATCCAATGTCTTTCAATTGATGAATGAACGAACAAAATGGACTATGTAGTAAATAGAATATATAAGAATAGAGTAGCATATTATTTGCCCATAAAAAGGAATGAAGTGCTATAACATGTTACAACATGGATGACTCTTAAAACATGATAGTAAGTGAAAGAAGACAGACACAAAAGATCACATATTGCATGGCTTCATTTATAAAACATGTCCAAAATAGGCAAGAGGGACAAAATGTAGATATTTGATTGCCAAGGGCTAAGGGAAGGGGAGAATTAGGCATGAGTGCTAATTATTTTTTTAGGTGATAAAAATGTACTAGAATTAAATGACAGTAGTGGTTATGCAACACTGGGCAATATATAAAACTGAATATACTAAAGTGAATATACTGAATATCACTGAATTATACATTTTAAAATATCTAATTTTATGGTACATGCATAATGTTAGCTCGAGAACATTAATGCAGTGACTATGAAGGATATGAAAGAGGTATGCATGACACCGCAAGCATGACGGGAAAGAGATGACGGGGCACAGCATGTCTTATCATTTGGCGTACTACACTGTGGTGGGGAGAAACTGCTAAAAGACAATTTAAAAAGGTAAGTAGGCACACAGTCATGCAAAGACCTTATAAAGCAAGTATTTCTAGACTCTTATAAAACATGAAAAGGTATTTAGCAGATGGGTGACTTCATTATATTTGGAAATGGGTAACTCTCATGATAAGAATACTAAATCTTTTAGAATAACACCGCCAAAATTCAGGCAGGAGAGCTTATACTTGGTAAATGGCACTGGAACTTGAGAAAAAATGCTTTTATAAGTATTAAGATGAATACTTATTACTAAAGAAAATTTCAATGTTTATATCCAGTAGAAAAACTATGCATTCCATTTCCAGACTTCACAATTGATCATTATTCCATGAAGATGCTTATAATGGTCTCTATATTTAACATGATTATGAAAAAAATAAATTGTACACATTTTTTCCCACCTCCTACAATCCAAGTCTCCAAAACTCCTGAACTTGAATTTTAAATGCCTAAATGTCACCACCAAAAGGAAAAATAAGTTCTTTTTTTTATTATTATACTTTAAGTTTTAGGGTACATGTGCACAACATGCAGGTTAGTGCAAAATAAAAGGAATATATATATGTGTATAATAACATACTGATAAATGTTTCAGTAATTGTATTCTAATAATGTAAACCCAATATAAAAATTAATAATTTAATTCAAATAATAAAATAAATGCTGTTTATAGTATAGATTTTTTTAATTACATGAGAAATTGATTATGGGAAAGAAATGTTTGAGGTTGAGGCTAGATCTAGCTGGGATGTGCCTCTTCCACAGAGAGGAACCAAAATATCACGTAAACCTTTACAATTTGAACAATCATTTGAAAGAAAACACAAAAATTTGATAGGCAAGAGAAGACACCTTGGTTGCAGATAAACGTGCAGAACAGTCTACTCAGGGATGATAGGCTCCAGATCTGGGCCCTGAACCCAGAAAAGACCCAAAGAAGGGATGAGTGGAGCAACCTTGGGGCACCACATTCTTGCCACAGGCCTCTGAGATCCTAGCTACAGAAGCTCTCACAAGCCCTCCCACATACCCCACAAAAGACTTTGGACTGGCAGGGAAGCTGCCTAGAGAATACACAGTTGCATTGCTTGAACCCACATGGAGCCCAGAAGGCTTGCTGTGCTGGGCAGCTGCAGAAAAATGGAACCCTTTTTAGGTGCCCACCCCACAAGACTCTCCATCCTGCAATGAACAGCTGCAGTTTCTGCTTCTGCCTGGCAGGAGAGAGAAATGCTCAGGCATGTTCATATGACTAAGACAAGTCAGGTCCCACCACCATTGCTGTGGGACCAAGATGCTTCCAAACAATGCACCCCCTTGCCTGTTGGTCCCTCTCAAGACTGACTTTATGGCTGTTCCCACAGGGTGGGGCCAACAGGATAGCCTCCATTGCCCCATATGAGTGTTTCATTGGTAATCCGGGAGCAGTTCACCCCCCATCACATCACCACTTGTCACTGAAGGGCCAGAGGATAAATCCCCTGGCCTGGACCTAGTTCCCTGGGACTCAAGCACACTGCTCAGTATGAAGATCAAATGTGTGGCCTGATCTCAAGTGGAAGAGTATCCCTCACTTTCAGAACAGAGAGAAGAGTGTGGCACTGGTTCGTATGGTGGTACAGGAGCTGACTATGCCTCCTTTCATGTGATTGGACCAGGAACAATATGATCTGATAGTCAGTTTTCCCCTCAGTGACTCCTGTTGTCTGGAATGCCTGAAGTGGCACAATCTGTGTGCAGATGGCATGGGATAAGCCTAACTGATTGGGCCTGTTGCCAGGGCTGGACTCTGGAGGGAGACCCTCTGGGTTGGGTGTCTGTGAGCTGTGTAGGCCCCACAACTGCCTAATGGGCTGAAAACCCCAGGCTTTGGTCTTCCCCTAAGTGAGCTCTGTGGCACAGGAGTGGTGCCTCCACCCCTCTCTTAAGGGTTGTCCCAGCAGCCAGACAGCTGCCCTTAGAACCTCTGCCAAGGTCAGTTCTTGTGCCCACTTTGAAGAGTCTGGTTGCTAGCTCACCAGACCCAGCCCTGCCCAGCTTTGCCCCCTCTAGTCTCCATGGTAGCACAGTGCAGGATGATACCACCCCAGAAGCCTCATCTCCCAGTCATCACCAATACTTCATCTGAAAAACAAAGGCTAGGTAAAAATCCCATTGACATTAACACCACTGTGTTCACCTGCAAGTGCCACCTACTGGTCAGGAGGTCCACCTGCATGGCCCGTAACTTTTGCTGACATCAGTGTGTGGCACTCAGCTGGCCTTTACCTGCAAACACTACCTACTGGACTGCACGTTGAACTGCATAACCCAATATTTCTCCTAACAGAAGTGCACAGTGCTGGGGAATAAGAGAAGCCTATCAAGACCTTCACCTTCCCAGCCCTGTAGGAGACAGTGAGTCTGACCACAAGCACAGTACACCACTACTACAAGTCACAAACAACTATCATTTGAAAAAAACACTGCACTAAAGCTATCTATAACCAAGGAAGCCATACAAATCTTTGGCCCCCTAAAAGCACAAAGAAGCAAATCTAAAGAATCCTACCCAATGTATGCAACAGTATTATGCTCAAGGGAGATAAAAACCTAACCTAAATGAAAGTAAATTAAAAAGTAACAAGAGCTTCTACAGATGAGAAGGAACCAGAACAATAATTCTAGCACTGTGAAGAAACAGAATGTTGTGACGCCCCAAAGGATCACACTAGTTCTGAAGCAATGCATAGAATTTTGAAAGTATCAAGTATTCAAAATATGAATTGTAAGGAAGCTCAATGAAATCCAAGAGAAAGTTGAAAGCCAACACACACATACACACACACACACACAAAATATATATGTATATAAATATATATATCTTCAGAAAATAAAAAATTAACTGAAAGAATTGAAATCTCATGTGAAAGTCTTAACAGTAGTCTAGACCAAGCAGAGGAAACAGTTTCAGAGCTCCAAGGCTAGTCTTTTTAATTAACCTACTCACAAAAAAATAAAGATTTTAAAGATGAAGAAAGACTGAAAAATATGGGATTATATAAAGCAATCAAACCTAAAACAGGCATTTCTGAGAGAGAAAAACAAAAAGTAAGCAACTTGGAAAATACATTTGATGGAATAATTCAGGAAATTTTTTCTAATTTTGCTAGATAGACATCCAGAGAAGAAATTCAGAAAACACCTGCAAGATAACAGAAAATGACTATCATCAAGACACACAGTCATTAGAATACCCAAGATTAATGCTAACAACAAAAAATAATCTTAAAGGCAGCTAGAGAAAAAGGCCAAATCACAAATAAAGATAATCTCATCAGGCTAACAGCAGACATCTCAGCAAAAACCTCACAAGCCAGAAGATACCAGGGGCCTATTTTTAGCTTTCTTAAAGGAAAAAAAAATGCCAGCCAATAATATTATATCCTGCCAAACTAAGCATCATAAACAAAAGAGAAATAAAGTTTTTCCCAGGCAAGCAAATGTTAAGGCAATTTGTCACCACCAGATCAGTCTTACAAAAAACAAATGCTCAAAGGAAGTCTAAACTGAAAACAAAAGGACAATACTTGCTATCATAAAACCACACAAAAGTACAAAGTTCACAGATCCTATAAAGCAAATCCACAATTGAGACTACAAATCCACTAGCTAATGACACTATGAGAGACACAAAATCTCACATATCATTATTAACCCTGAATGCAGATGCCATAAAACTCCATTTAAAAGATATCAGTTGGCAAATTGAATACAAAAACAGGACCCAAACATATGCCTTCAAGAGACCCATGTAACATGCAATGGTACCTATAGGTGTCAGTAACTGGATGGAAAAAGATATATCATGCAAATGGAAAACAAAGAGCAAGGCTTGCTATTTTTCTATCAGATAAATCAGACTTTAAACCAACAGCAGTAAAAAAAAAAAAAAGGCAAAGAAGTGCATTATATAATGACAGGGATTGATTCAACAAGAAGATTTAGATATATTTAAATATATATGTTTAATATGTATAAATATATATATTTATATATTTATTCAAGATGGCTTGAATTATTCCCCAGAAAATAGGTTTTTCTCTTCTACCAAATGATCAGGCTGCAAATTTTCCAAACTTTTGTGTACTGCTTCCTTTTTAAATATAAGTTCCAGTTTCAGATTATTTCGTTGTTCATGTGTATGAGTGTACACTTTTAGAAACAGCCAGGTAACTTCTTGAATTATTTGCTGCTTAGAAATATATATATATATAAAATAGACATCTATTTAATATATAGACATATATAATAGACACATACATATATATGTGTATATATGTGTGTATGTATATGTATGTGTGTGTGTGTGTGTATATATATATATATATATATATAGAGAGAGAGAGAGAGAGAGAGAGAGAGAGAGAGAGAGATGCCTATTAGGTCCATTTAGCTGAGACCAATTTAACTGCAGAGTTTCTCTGTTGTTTTTTTACCTCAGTGATCTGCCTAGTTATGTCAATGGGTTGTTGAAGTTCCCCACTATTATTGTATCACTGTCTATTTTTTTCCTTAGGTCTAGTAGCATTTGTTTTATAAATATGGGTGCTCTAGTATTGAGTGCATATATTCTTCTCACATTGCAAAATACAATGATCCCTTTTCGACAGTCGTTCAGTCTTAATTCATTTCAGCATTAACTCAAAAATCCATAGTCAAAGTCTCATCTAAGACAAAGTAAGTCCCTTCTACCTATGAGTCTATAAAATAAAAAACAAGTCATCTACTTTCAAGATACAGTGGTGGTAGAGGCATTTGGTAAATGCTACCATTCTAAATGGGAGAAATTAGCCAAAATGAAGGAGCCATAGGACTGATGCAAGACCTAGGCAGGTAGTCATTAAATCTTAAAGCTCCAAATTAATCTCCTTTGACTCTATGTCTCATATCCAGCATACTCTGATGGAAGGGGTGGGCTCCCATGGCCTTGGGTTGCTCTGATCCTGTGGCTTTGCAAGTTACAGCCCCTGTGGCTACTTTCATGGGCTGGCATTGAGTGCCTGCAGCTCAAAGCCAGCCAGGTGCATGGTGCAAGCTGTAGATGGATCTACCATTCTGGGGTCTGGAGGACAGTGGCCCTCTATTCAAAGCTCCACTAGGCAGTGCCCCAGTGGGGACTTTATTTAGGGGCTCTAATTCCACATTTTCCCTCTTTACTTCCCTAGTAGAGGTTCTCCATGAGGCTCTGCCCCTGCAGCAGACTTCTGCCTGGACATGTTGGCATGTCCATACATCCTCTGAAATCTAGGTGGAGGCTCCCAAACCTCAACTCTGGCCTTCTGTGCACCTGCAGGCCCAACACCATGTGGAAGCCACCAAGGCTTGGGGCTTGCACCCTCTGAAGTAACAGCCCAAACTATACCTTGGCCCCTTTTTGCCATGACTGGAGCTGGAGTGGCTGGGACTCATGGTGTCGTGTCCTAAGTCTGGACAGAGCAGCTTGCCCCTGGGCCTGGCCCACTAAACCATTTTTCCTCCTAGGCCTCAGGGCGTATAATTGGAGGGGCTGTTGTGAAGATCTCTGAAATGCCCTGGAAGCATTTTTCCCATTGTTTTGGCTATAAACATTTAGCTCTTCTTTACTTATTCAAATTTCTATAGCTGGCTTGAATTCTTTCCCAGAAAATGGGTTTTTCTCTTCTACCAAATGATCAGGTTACAAATTTTCCAAACATTTGTGCTCTGCTTCCTTTTTAAATATAAGTTCCAGTTTCAGATTATTTCTTTGTTCGTGTGTATGAGTGTACACATTTAGAAACAGCCAGGTGACCTCTTGAATTCTTTGCTGTTTAGAAATTTCTTCCTCCAGATATCCTGAATCATTTCTCTCAAGTTCAAAGTTCCAAAGATCTCTAGGGCAGGGGAAAAATGTTGTCAGTCTCTTTGCTAAAGGATAGTAAGAGTGACCTTTACTGCAGTTCCCAATAATTTTCTCATTTCCATCTGAGACTACCTCACCTAGACTTCATATCACTCTCAGCATTTTGATCAAAACCATTTAACGAGAAGTTCCCAACTTTCTCACATCTTCCTGTGTTCTTCTGAGCCCTCTAAACTGTTCCAACCTCTGCCCATTACCCAGTTCCAAAGTCACTTCCACATTTTCAGGTACGTTTATAGCAGTGTCCCACTCTTCTGGTACCAATTTTCTATATTAGTCTGTATTCGCAGTGCTATAAAGAACTACCTGAGACCACATAATTTAAGAAGAAAAGAGGTTTAATTTGATTCACGGTTCTGTGGCTTAACAGGAAGCATGACTGGGAAGAATCAAGAAACTTACAGTCATGTCAGAAAGCAAAAAGGAAGCAAGGACTTTCTTTATATGGTGGAAGGGGAGAGAGAGAGAGAGAAAAGGTGGGAGTGCCACACACTTTTATACCATTGGATCTCATGAGAACTCACTATAATGAGAACAGCAAGGAGGAAATCCACCCCCATGATCCAATCACTTCCCACCAGGCCCCTCGTCCAATTCAACATGAGATTTTGTCAGGGACACAAATCCAAATGATATTAGAAATGATTGCTATTGCTATTGCTAGCTAGATTAACCAATAAAACAAAAGAGTAGATTCAAATAAGCATAATCATAAAAGATAAAGGTGCTACAACTGATACCAGTGAAATATTAGTGATCCCAAGACTACTATAAATTTACATTGCAATGCACACAAACCAGAAAAATATAAAGAAAATGGATAAATTCCTGGAAACCTACAAACTCCCAAGACTGAACCAGAGAGAAATTGAAATCCCTACTAGATCAATAACAAGTTATAAAATTGAATCAAATACATAATTCATCAAGATCAACTGGGTTTTATTCTACCGATACAAAGATGGTTCAGTATATGGAATTCAATACATGTGACTTACCACATGAACAGAATTAAAAATAAAATCCATATGATTATTTTAATAAATACAGAAAATCATTGATAAAATCCAACATGGCTTTATCATAAAAACTCTCAACAAACTAGGCATCAAAGGAACATGCCTCAAAATAATAGAAAATCAACACATCTCACTTATAAGTGGAAGCTAAACAATGGGTAAACATAGACATAAAGATGGAAATAACGTATACTGGGAAACTCAAATAGGGAAGATGTAGGGGCAGAAAGGGTTAAAAAGCTACCTATTGGGTACTATTTTACTATTTGGGTGATGGATTCATTAGAAGCCCAAACCTCAGCATTATGCATTATACCCATGTAACAGACCTGCACAAGTACCACCTGACTCTAAAACTTTTTAAAAACCATTTTCATATCAATTGGCCATGCAATATTGTTAATTAATTTGAAGGCTTATATATGTTATGATCTGAATTGTTTGTACTCAAAATTCATATTTTGAAGTTGTAATATCCAGTACCTCGGAATGTGACTGTATTTGAAGATAGGTTCCTTAAAGAGGTAATTAAATTAAAATGAGGTAATTAGGGTGAGACCTAATTCAATATAACTAGAGTTCTTACAAGAAGAAGAGATCACAACACCAAGTCCCACAGGACCATATGAAGACATGGAGAAAAATGACCATTTACACCAAAGGAAAGAGGCTTAAAAATAACTAAATACTGCCAACACCTTGATATTGATCTTTCAGCCTTTACAATTGTGATAAAATATATTACCATTGCATAAGCCAAACACTCTGTGGTATTTTGTTACGGCATCCCTAGAAAACTAATACAATGACTTTTACTACTTTTGTTTTATTTTTCTCAAATAATTTTAGAAAAGTTCAAAATCATAACAAAGAATTCCCATCTGACATTCAGATTCTCCAATTGTAAATATTTCAATACATTTGCTTTATAATTAATCTCTACATATTTACACATATTTTTATTATTTCCCTAAACCATTTGAGGGTCAGTTGAATACATGCCATTTTACTTCTAAATAATTTACTATTTATTTACTAAGAAAATGTACATATTTTTATTTAAAATTTATTATGGATAAAAACTATTTTATAGATTTTACTCATATTTTCCCAAATAATGCCCTTTGCAACAAAAATTTTAAAAAATATGTAAAACTTACATATTATAAATAATTATGTCTATGTATGTATATAAATATAATTTATATATTTCTCATACGTGATGTTAACTTTGATCACTTTGTAAAAGTGATATCTTCTAGATTTTTCCATTGAAGTTACTTTTTAATTTACAAGTTATTTGGGGCGAGATACTTTAGCACTATGTAGATGTACCATATGTTATCAAACATTGATCACTAGTATTTTTACCCATTGATGTTTCTCACCTAACCAATTATTAGTATGTTAGTTAAATGGTTATTTTCCTAACAGCGTCATTCTTCCCCATTCAGTGTTTTGCATGTTACTATAAGAATAAGTTACAGTTCTTGTTTATTTACGTGTATCAGTATAAGTTGGTGAATTTCTACTTTATTGAATTGGTTATAGTCCATTACTATTATTACATATTTTGATGCTCAAACTATCCCTGGTTCAGCTAACAGGGAGCACTTGAATATTTCTGTGACCCCTGTTTTTTTCACGTACCCATTAGTTTTTAAGCACTTCCATAATTTCAGGTCCAATGAGATGTCAGGCTTATCTTGTACATTCCCTGCCATATACCTGGAAACAGAGAATTCTCCAGAAACTTAGTTCCATATGGTGGAGAAATGACATGGACTACACCTGATAATCTTCCTCCCCAGGGAGTGAGGACCAAAGACACAGTTGGAAGGGGATAAATCCTATTCAAAGTGTGCAGCAATGTGTGACACAAATTCAGACTGAAGAAATGCTCTAGTTTCTTGTCAAAAACACACTAGAGATTCTAGGTTTGAGAAAAACACACCAGTGATGCTAGGTTTGAGTCACAAGCTCAGTCACTTTTCAAGCACCTAGTTGATGTTGTCAGGGGATAGGAGAAGGTATTTTCCAGACAGAGAGGAAAATGTTAAACTAGAGTGAAAAGACCTGGTGTGAAGGGTTACACCCTCTTTGAAAGGGTAAGAAATTAATCGGCAAATCAACTCCCAAACTAGAATAGTAAATTAAGAATTCTCTTGGAGATAAAATTAGGAATTTTAACATTAGGTATTATTTTTAATCTTCTTCTCATTTAGCTCTCAAGGAGAGACTTGATGGAAGATTTTGCAAAGATCATGATTTTTTTTTCTTACAAGGCCCTTATAAAATGAAAGAATATTATATAATTTTTAACATATGGCCCCTTGATTGCAACTCTGTAAGTTTGGGAAGATAAAGTATAGTCAGATTGTAAAAGATCTTGTAAGCCATGGCAAAATGTTGACCAAGGATGGTTATGAGTTGAAAAACTTGAAAAGTTGAGAGATTTAAAGATAAACTCATAAACAGCTAGGTAGGTAGGTAGACATAGAGATAACAATATCCTGAAAGCATCAGGGTAATATACTTAGAATAATAACCTCAATGTGATATTTTAAAAATAAGAATTAGCTTTACATAATGCCAATCCTCCTTGTTTCCTTCCCATCTTCATGCAGATTATGATAACAGTCTACATGATAGAAAAGAGATGAGTACAGTTTTGAGCAGTGTGGCTTTGATCACAGGCAGCCTATCATAAGAGAAGTGATGACTCTATCATTAAGGGATTCCTGTCTGAGACCATGGATGGTAAATAGCAACACTTTACCCAATCATCTGCTTCATTATAGGATGCTCTTTGATGACAGCCAAGTCTGAGTGATATAAACCGGGTTGCCAAGTTTAAAACTTCAAACAGTAAGATGTGCCAGTGAAATCACTGTGTCAGAATGAAACAAGCAAGCAAATGCAGCCAGTATAACAACAGCAGTGGATTAAGGGATAAGGCCCAGGCACCAAGAGAGGGCAAAGCTGCTAAGCTATCTATATTAGTAAAAGTTCCAAAAAGAAATGGATGGCACATTCATATCAGGATAGTTTGATGGAGAAAATACATATTAAATTGTGGACAGAATGCTGGCAATTCATAAAGAATGGTACAGCAGAGAACACAGAGAAGTTACCACTCCTCGATGTGAAAAAGTGAAATAGTTATTAGAACGTGCAAGGAGAAAATCTTGTGGAGAGGTTCACATTTAAAGAAGCTACAGCTAACTTCAAGGAGTGCAGCCCAACTAAAATATCCGTACAAGGAGAGAATCAGGAGGATCTGTACCTGACTTTAAACTCGTTTATACCTTTAATCTCCTGGGGCTCACAGACATTCTTATAGTCTAAACAGAGCAAATACCACTGGTATAAAGCAGGGTGGGGAAAGGTGGAGAGCAACTCTGATTGGGAAAATGGAAAAATACCAGCAAAGCAGATTTCACCACTCATCAGACACATTAAAGAGCCAGGGAAGCATCTGCCAGTGGGTTAATGGTGTCCCCAAGTGTCTAGGCTACAGAACATTGCTTTCATAAATAAGAATTTCAATATGATAATGGTGCTTTTCTAGAAACTAAAACTAAAGAACCTGTTGCTCTTGGTTACTTTTTTCTTTCATAACCAAAATGTATTCCAAAAATGATGTAATCCCCTAGCCTCCTTCATAACTGGTTATAAATATCTATATGGCTTTATCTGTCATTTCAGCAAGTTCTCGTAATATAAAAGGGAAAGATGTGTTTCCATGTCGTCATATATATTTATATCAAAAAGCGTTGCTCTTATTATTTGCATGTAGCTATCTTTGTATTTGGAAAATAAGACAATAAGGATTGATAAATATGTAAAGTGCTTTGAGATCTTCATTAATATTTATAAAAATATATTTAATATAGTAACCCAATGCCTATGTGAAACAATTATTTTTTCTTTTTTATATACCTGAAATTGCTTTTAATGATACATTCCTGTGGATGGAAGCAAAACTACGTCTCCATGTCTTTAATAACTACAGCTAGAGTTCCTGCTGAGAATATTAGCAAGCTACTGAGATTAATTTTACCTTATTTATTAAGAATGTATATGCTATATATTTCAGACTGAATCAAAAAAAGCTTACAGCAAGTTTGAAGTTATTGCAAAAATATGGCTTAGAGATATAAAAGATATATTAGAGATATAAAAGAAAATAAAAATCATGTAAATTGTGCAGAGAAAGTAGCATCCATTATGTACATGAGCTGTGCTTATTGTACTCTCAGTTAAATTCCAAACCTGAGAAAATCTGTATTTAAAATGTTAAGATATGGGTTATACAACATTTCTATTCTGAAATACTTATACATACTTGCATGCACTCGTGCGCACACACACACACACACACACACGCCTAAGAAAAAAAGTTTTTTTATAGAATTTTACTAAGGCATAAAATTTACCCCATATGTTTTGTCTGTGCTTTAATTGTCAACACCGCAGACAATATCTTCAGCTTAAATTTTCTAAAAAACACAAAAATGCTATTCAATTTTGCTTGTGAATAGCGAAACTGCTATTCAAATTATATACACATAATTTTTGTGATAATTAAATAAATGCATTTAAAAAGATCTTTGACCTGTTTCAGGCACTTATTAAATATTCCATAAATGTGAAAATATAATTATTAGTACAAAGAGGAAAATAGTATTTTAAAATAATAGCTTAATAAGGATATTTATGACTTGAGACAATAGATCTATTTATTTAATTTATAGTGCTATATCTTAGTACTGGGATGGAATTTGCAGACATAAGAAAAGCAGATAGTTAATACATCTGTTGAATTCCTTTCTCTTTCAAATTTTGCAAGTCTTGAGCCAACGCTTGGCAGTTTTTAGATTTCAGTCAATTAGTACTGAAATTCTTAAAGATGAATTATAATGCATAAATTCTCTGTTGTTAGTTGAAGTGAGACCCATATGCTTTAAATGCTAAATGTGAGAATGGAAGTTATATCCCTGCTTAGAAATTATAAGAATTGTCCGTGACTCTCATTCACAAGGAATCTAATATATTTCACTGCAGTCATGGGTAATAGAACTGCCTAAAGTTATAGTTCATATTATTCTGAAAAATGTTTGATTTTAATTTAATGAGATTATTTTGATATCATTGTATATGGACCAATTGGCTCTCAACTGAGTATACCAGAATCTCCAAATTAAGACTATCTTGGTAATAATATATCACTGAAAAAAGAAATGACTTGTGAATCAATCACTTGGGTTTGAACATTTGTGACCTTCTTACAGAATACGCAAAACATTTTCTTTTTGACTCTCCAGAGCTACTCTCTACCTTCCTCAGAAGGTTGACCTGTTGGGAATGTATATCAAGAGACTCCCTTCCTTCCTCTCTTGTTTCCAGTTGGGTTTAGCCAATGAAGAGCACCAGAAAAAACAAAAACAGAGGGAAAAAGATTAGTGAGTTCAGGGTATTCCTTCCCCCTTTCCCTCTTTCCTGGTGTGTATTGGCTGATTGTCTCCTCAGCTTAAAGTAAACTCTACTGTCAAGCTGACCTCTGCACATAGATCTTTCTCACACCAAGTTACAGTACAGTTCTTTTATGTAGGTTCATCAAATTTGCTCAAATGACCATTAGACCATGGCATGGATTGGAATGCAAATAGAGCAGGGCATTAGGAACTTTGGTATATTTGACAGTTAGTTAGGCATTACGGAGACAAAAGTTAACTCAAGGTTATAGAAATTGCTCTCTTCCACCCATGATCCTAGATATGTGAGGTAAGGTAACAGAGAAACTGAAATCTGTGTATAGCCAATGTGACAATGAACAATTAGACAGCCTTGATGGCAATTCTGAGTCTCTATCTCCTGTAATTGAAATGCAGAGTTCCACATCTAGCTGAGAAAAAAGCTACATAGTTTCAGCGACAAATATTCAGAGTACTTTGTCTTTTGCTAAATCAAGGGCACTGAGGGAAAGTATTAAGACTCAGAAGTATGGATTGAACATTTGCAAGGGAAGGACAAGGCTGACAATGAAAGTCCCTTTGGATTCCCCTTGTCAAAAGAAGTAGACCTCCTTTTCTTCATTTTTCCAACCATTAAGGGCTTTGGTACTCTTTATAAAATAATAATAAAATATTTCATCTGGAACAGTTGTCTCACAAGGAATTTCACCCACTCTCATTATTCCTTCTTAGTGTCCCTGGTTTCTTAATGAGAAATAGATGTCAATCTGCAATTTAAGAATTATTTCTTCAGGCAGAAATGACTATACAATCCGAAGTAACCTATGTGAATCCGGAGTAGTCTAGAGACCGTGGATGAAGTAGATTCTAAGGGTGTTAGACCATAAAGAATGAAATAAAATTGATCATGTCGAATGTATATATATGGATATATTCATTTAAAATTAAAAATGAATGTTTTTGGTTGAAGAAATGCAAGTGGCATTAAAAGTCTGTTAAGTTAGCAAATTCAAGCCTGGATTCAAAGCTGGTTTATAGATATGTGGTTAAAATGCTTTAATTTCCCTGATATGCCATAGGAGAAGGAGTCTAAAAATTCAGGGAGATGGGAACGTTGAAGAGAATATATTTTGTGTACTCTTCTTAGCTAAGCCCCAGTCATATCCACAAGAAGCTTCTGAAGGTATTCTTTTAACTAGGGCATTAAGAAAAGCACTCATGGATGAGCGTGGTGGTTCATGCCTGTAATCCCATCACTTTGGGAGGCTGAGGATCACTTGAGGAGTTCGAGACCAGCCTGGCCAACATGGTGAAACCCTGTCTCTGCTAAAAATACAAAAAAAAAAAAAAAAAAAAAAAGGTGGGCATGGTAGTGGGCTCCTATAATCCCAGCTACTCAGGAGGCTGAGGCAGGAGAATGGCTTGAACCCTGGAGGCAGAGGTTGCAGTGGGCCAAGATCACTGCACTCCTATCTGGGAGACAGAGCGAGACTCCGTCTCTATTAAAAAAAAAATAGAGAAAAGCATTAGTGAAGAAGATACCAGCATCCTTGAAATGCACAGTGGTGGTCAGCCTTGATAGGACAGTGATGGTGGTGAGAGGTGATGAACTGGGATTGAGTTATCTGGTATCAATGGAGTGATGAGAACTAGGAGAGTTAGATGCTAGAGGAATATGTTATCAGTAGCAATTACCATACTAAGCCACAGAAATGGAGTAAGAGTCTAGAAAGTTCTAACCTTTTGTCCTTATAATGCAATTTGTGATTTTTTTCCTCCTTGATTATATTTAAAATTTTTCTTTTATTAGTCATTTCAGACTTTTTAAAATTGCAGATACTGATAGTAGCCCATATGATATCATATTTTAAGAACCAGAAAACTACTTTTTGGATTGCTAATTGTTCAACTTTTATAAATGCATCTTGTTTTTGGAAAGAATATGTATTGTCTGTTTGTTTTCACCTCTGTTTATGTGTATGTAAGTAATTAAGATAGCATTTTAAGATAGCATTTTTATTCAAATTTCCCATATCTCCCTTTATATTTTTTTTTTTACTAAATCTGACTTCCAACAGAGATTATCTTAAACTCTTACCTCTTGATTATCAATTCATTAGTTTCCTTTGTTCTTTTATCACTTTTACTGCATATGACATGAAATCATATTATTAAGCATTATTGATTTTGTGTCATATCTTTTTGGTGTGTTTCTGTTTTGTTGTTTTCTTAAAAACAGTATTCTCCCTCTTGTCCACTTGGGTGCTTTTCACATGATTAAGTTTCTTTTCATACCTGTTAAGATGATTTTAGGGTATTTAACAATTTTGGTAATTGCTTTATTTTGATATTTGGTAGATTACAGTAATAAATTTTTAATATAAAACCATCCCTGCACTCCTAGAATAAGCTCAACTTAGCCTTATTAAAACTTTTTTAAAGACTACCAAATATGCCTGCTGATATTTAATTTATAAAATTTGTAACCATGTTCGAGAATAAGAATGGCCTGTATTCCCCCTTTCTCATAATACCCTTTTTCAATTATATTTCTCAGTTTCATAAAATGAATATAATTTACAGTTTCATAAGATGAATAAAACATCTTTGTCCATTTTTAAAAAGTTTCATTTCAAAATACTTTATCTTCAATCATTTTTAGAACTTGATTCTAAATCTATCTGTGTCTAGTGGCTCTTTGGCTGACTTTTGAGAAGTAATTATATTATTAAAATGTATAAACCTGTCCAGTGTTTTTTTTTTTCTTGAGTCGTTAGTCAAGTTGTAGTTTCCGAAGAAATTGTTCATAATGTCTATGTTTTCATATTTAGTGGCACAAACATTATATTTTTATCATTCTCTTTTGTGTTTATACTTTTGTTCACATATTTTAAGTTTTGCTCTCTCTTATTTTGATTAATTTTACCTAAGGTTTGTTTATTTTGTTATAATTTTTAATAAACCATTTTTGGCTTTAATTCACTCTACTATAACTTTATTTTCTATTCCTTAATTTTTTTCTCTGTCATTTCCTTTTTTCTACTTTCTGTTTACTCTGTAGCTCTTTTTCTAGCTCTTGACCTTATCTTTATTTTATTAATGGTATTTTTTCAAATATAAGCATTTATGGGTATAATATATCTAAAAATGGTTTGACTATAGTATATATATCTGTATATATTATATGCTATATATGTATGACTTTAAGTAAATTTCTATGTATATGTTGAAAGATTGAGATCTTCATTATATAAATTCTTAAAAGTGGTCTATGTTTTCTGCACAGACTACCTAATCCATGTCAAATACACCTGTCCATGTATGTTTATAAAGGTTATATATCATTCATATTGTCCATTGACGCAAAAATATTGATTTTATAGCAAATATTCTCTGCCCTTATACATTTTTCTTTTTGATCTATTAATTTCTGAGAAGTATTAACATTTATGATTAAGATTTATCAAATAATCCATTCAATTCTGTCTATGACACTGTTATTTTGAGTATTTTAATTTAGAATTCTTATATTTCTTAATGTATTAAAACATTTAAAATTACAAGCTACACTATAAGTATAAAAGGAGACATTACTATAGGGATAATAATCCCATCCATTTTCCACTGTTCTTACTTAATCTCATAAAAACTTGCATGTTTTTGTTTCTTTTATTTCATAGTTATATAGTGATCATTTTTTCCTCAATATTGCTTTTTGCCTTAAGTACCATTTCATCTTATATCTGTATTGTCCACATGGCTTTTGATGATAAACCACTTGTAAATTGCATACATTGATTTTGCTTCCAGATCCAGCTTGACAATTTTATACTTAACTATTTAGTGCACTTGTATATATAACATACTACAATATGTCCACTTGTTTCCATAATTTTTGAAGGTTCGACTTCTCAACTTTTTATTATGCTTTTGTGTTTTCTATTTTACCTGTCTTCTTTGGAGATGATTAAGATTTTTAAAAATTCAATTATTTCCCAACTATTTATCTGAAATCTCTGCATTCTATTTCTACTCTTATAGTTGTAATTCTTACATTTTAATATACATCATTTTTACAATGGAGATAAAATTTAATAACATATCTTGTTTTCACATACATAATACAAGGATCTTAGGATGAGTTAATTCTATTTACTACTCTTTCATGTAGTGAATGTTACATGTTGTGGTCCTTGTGTTAAAACCTCAAATAAATACTTTTGTTATTATTCTTTTATTGTTTCTATTTATCTAAAAACGAAGTTTCTTTACTCATCATTCCTTTGTACAACTGTTTGTCGCATCTGAGTTCATTTTCTTTCTTCTCAAAAGACATGGTTTAGTGTTTTAGTAGTAATAAATCGGGTTTATGAGTGGTAAGCTCTTTAAGTCTATGCCAAAAAATCTTTATTTTTCTGTTATTTTTGGATGATAGTTTAATTGAGAGTATTAGGTGCTAACGATTATTTTTTCTTAGCATCTTGCAGAGTATTCCTTGAGTTCTGGCTCATATGGTTGCTAGTAAAATCAATATATCAAAGTATTATTTATTTGATGGTGATAGGTCTTCCTGTTTTTAAGATCACTTTGACTTTGGAGTTTGATGCTATGGGTACATATTGATTTTCTTTCTTCCTTCATTCCTTCTTTATTTTTATCTTGCTTGATACTTGTTATTTCTAGATATAAGGATTAATGTGTTTTTAGAATCTTAGAAATGTTCAAATATTGCTTCTTTTCTCTTTACTCTCTCTAGAATGGCTATTAAATATATGCTGACATTTTTATTCTTTTCTATTTTACTTAACACTTTCTTCATAAATTTCATTCCCTCATCCTTCTTTGTTGCTTTCTGACTCTCTTCATGCAGTATTTAATTTGTGGTTTTACTTGCCTGTCAAAATTTTAATTTGTAGATTTCTATTTGGTACTATTGAATTTTAAGACAATTTTTTCACTTGGTTTTGATAATATTTTTTACCCATTCATTTTCGATATATGTATTATACAATATCTGTCTAGGAATTTTGTTATATAATATTCTTGGCCTCAAATAATGCTATGTGTCATGTCTGGATCTCATTCATGGTAACTTGTGTCCTAGTGTATTTGTAATTTTAGGATATAAAAATTATTTCAGGAATACTTTGTGGGAATCTTCTGCAGCCTTGATTGAATTACTTTTTGTCCAGAAAGGTTTTACATTTGTTTCTTCCAGGTATCTCAGTGGTATAACTTACTTGAGACAAAGTTTGTTATTATTTTGCTATTTTTTAAGTTGGAACTTCTTGGACCATGAAGGTGTTGCTAAATGTGTACCACAAACTCAGATGTGACAGACTAACATTTAAAAATCTTTAAACAAAAAAAAACAATCTCAGAACTAAGGCCAAGAGAGAAAACTTTGATTTCTCACTGTGCTGGTGAGTTTTTCATCCTGGTTTATACATTTGACTAATAGTATAGCTTTTTGAGAGTTCTTGGTGTAGGCAATACAATCACTTTCAACTCTCCACTCTGCAGGAGTCCAAGCCTTTTCTCCCAGGTAAAGACCTACTCAGGAATTCTGCAGTATCAGCTCCAGCGCTTACCACTCCAGTTTTCAATTCCATCTTTGTTGTAGTTCTCTGAGTAATCTCACACGCTTTCTTGTGAGTTCAGCCAGGTGGTATTTAAAAGGATATTGGTTTTATTTTTAATCATTCCTAGATGTCTTGAAACAGGAAGTCATTTAGGTTCTCTAATCCACTACACTCTTAAAAAAGAAAATCATCCCCTTTGATTTTACTGAAGTTAGCCTTAGAAGATAATATGTGATGCCATGCCTGGAATTAGCTCCCAGCCCACTTCCTCCTCAGGCCTTATACTTATCTGGTCTGGTGGAGGTAAGGTTTGTTATTTTTTTGTATTAAACAATACCCTTCCCATTTCAAAATGTGTACTTATTCACATATAGATACCTGGTAGCTTAATTGAGAGAGATGTTGAAACTATGTTTTCTTGTGAAAACATTTTAATTGAAAAGTATATTTTATTGTCAGAAAGTTTGGCTTCAAATATAGGGATTTCAACTTCATTCAGTCAAAAGTTGTCATGAAGAAGTCTTCCTGGGTTTAGAAAAATAGTATATTGAGGAGACAGGTGGTTCTAAATAGCAGAAATAGTCACCTAGTCTTCCAGATTGTGCTGCAGGCTGCCTTCTCTGACATAGGGATTCCTATCTTTTTTATACTATCTTACAGTTAATACATAAAGAAGAAAAATGGTAAAAATTCTGGTGCCTGAAAGAATCATGGAAGTTTATGTAAGGAACAATAATAATCATCAATAATGTTTAACACTGCCTAATTATTAAAAATGATTCCAAAACTAAAAATATAATACTTGGATACTAAGTTCTGTCTATGTAATCAACAGTAGTTTTTCTTATAATTTCAACTTTTATTTTAGATTTAGGGGGTACATATGCACGTTTATTATATGGGTTTATTGCCCGATGCTGAGGTTTGGGTTATGAATGATCGCATCACCCAGGTAGTGAGTATAGTACCCAATAGATAATTTTTCAGCCCTGTCCCACTCTGCGTTCTCCTCTAGTAATTCCCAGTGTCAATTGTTCCCATAGCAATAAGAATTCTTAGAGAGATTTTATATGTTCTTAATGGATAAACCATAGAAATTCTAGGTGTGTTAAAATCTTCTTTTAGTAACTCTTCTATTATGTATTATATTTTAGATGTTAAGTCAGGGAAACTTAAAAAGTATACATATTTTCAAAACAATATAATGTGTTCATATGTTTTTGATAAACTGCAAATGAGCTGACCCTTTCCAAGGTAAAGAAGGGGAAAATACGTATGTAAGAGTTATTTAAAATCCTCTATTATTTTAACCCATGATCTGCAATTTGAGAACTAAAAAGCTAATATACTAAAAAATAATAATTTAGTAGAGTTAAGTAGGTCAGATTGTACCTACTGTACAATATATTCTATGGTAGACATTTTAACAACATCATAATATCTATCTATGTCAAGGGATTTAACTGTACTACCCAGGCTTCAAGAAAGAAGAAAATTAATTTCCACTGGTATTGTACTTGATCCAGAAAAATTCATGTGGGAGAGAACAGGGAGTAGTTCAATAAAATTTAGAAATTGGAGGCATTAGAGGCTTCTTTGGCTATTGTTATCATAGCTCTGTTAAGAATTTTATTATCTCTTCACTGTGCGGTTATCAATATCTTATAAATAAAGAGAAAGGAAAAAAATTTATTTAAAAAATAGGAAACCAAAGAGCAGTAAAAACACTTCATGAAGTGTTCTATAGGCCAGAATTATTATATCATAAGTACTCCGTAATTTTTAAAATATTTGTAATTTGAATGAGAGCTTCAATTCCTAATCTGTCAAATTTCTACATGCAGTCATATAGGTTTCCTTGTTTTGTTTAGATGAAAATGCATTTATGCAAAATGTCATTACTATAAAGAAGCATTTATATATGTGGGTACTATTTTATTAATTGACATTTATCTTAATCAGCCCTCTATGTTTGCCAGTGCCCAGATTGTATATAACCATTTGTCAATTAGGTAAACATATTTCAAGAAACAATAATATGCCATGCACTGTAATAGGCAATAGAGTCACAGGCGCAAATATGATCATCTCTTGTCATCAAGAGTTTTGCAAACTAATAAAGACAAATCTTTCAGAGTGGTCATATCTACCTGACAACATTATCTGATTTTTTGGCCCCCTCAAGTGTTGTTTCCTTGGGAGTAACAATGCTATTAATATTTAGAGAACTTGTAAACTGTAATAGTTTTTTTACACTGTTGTATCATAACTTAGGTCTTGTTTAATTAAAGATAACTAGCTTATGCTGCGATTCTATATAGCATAAACACAAAAGCAATGAGCCTGGACTGTGAATCCCCCAAAATTTGTAACATATAGTAAATCAGATACACATACAAGTCATATACAAGTTAATAGCACATACAAGTCAACTTATAGTTTGATACTGTTTGATATGATTTGGCTCTGTGTCTCTACCCAAATCTCATGTTGAATTGTAATTCCCAATGTTGGGGGAAGAACCTGGTGGGAAGGGATTAGATTATGGGGGCATAAATCCCCCTTGCTGTTCTCATAATAGTGAGCATGTTCTCATGAAATCTCATTTAAAATTGTGGGGCACTTCTTCTCTTTCTTCCCCCTGCTCCACCATGGTAAGATGTGCTTGCTTCCCCTTCACCTTCTGCTATGATGTAAGTTTCCTGAGGCCTCCCAGCCATGCTTCTTGTATAGCCTGCAGAACTCTGAGTCAATTAAACCTCTTTTCTTCATAAAGTACCCAATCTTAGGTAGTTGTTTATAGCAGTGTGAGAACAGACTAATACAAAAAATTGGTGCCAAGATTGGGGTATTGCTGTAAAGATACCTGAAAATGTAGAAGCATTTTTGAAACTGGGTAATAGGCAGAGGTTGGAACATTTTGGAGGGATCAGAAGAGACAGGAAGATGAGAGAATGTTTGGAACTTCCTAGAGACTTGTAGAATGGTTGTGACTAAACTGCTAATAGTGATATGAACAGTGAGGTCCAGCCTGAGGGGTCTCAGATGGAAATGGGGAACTTATTGGGAACTGGAGTAAAGGTCACTCTTGCTATGCTTTAGGAAAGAGACTGGCAGCATTGTTCCCCTGCCCTAGATATCTGTGGAACTTTGAACTTGAGAGAGATGATTTAGGATATCTGGTGGAAGAAATTTCTAAGCAGCAAAGCATTCAAAATATGGCCTGGCTGATTCTAATAGTGTATACTCATTTGCATAAACAGAGATTATCTGAAGCTAGAACTTATATTTAAAAGGGAAGCAGAACATAAAAGTATGGAAAATTTACCTCCCAACAATTCAGTAGAAAAGAAAAACCCATTTCTCCGGAAGAATTCAAGGCTGCAGAAATTTGCATAATTAAGGAACTGAATGTTAATCATCAAGACAATGGGGAAAATGGCTCCAGGGCATTTCAGAGAACTTTGCAGTGGCCCCTCCCATCACAGGCCTGGAGGCTTAGAAGGGAAAAATGGTTTCAAGGGCCAGGCCCAGGGCACAGGACATGGTGCCCTACATTCCAGCCATGCCAGCTCCAGTCATGGCTAAAAGGGGCCAAGGTACAGCTTGGGTCATTGCTTCAGAAGGTACAAGACCCAAGCCTTTGTGTGGCTTCCTTGTGGTGTTGGCTTGCAGGTACATAGAAGGCAAGAGTTGAGGTTTGGGAGCCTCTGCCTAGATTTCAGAGGATGTATGGACATGCCTGCATGTCCAGGGAGAAATCTGCTGCTGGGTTGGAGCCCTCATGGAGAACCTCTACTAAGGCAGTGAAGAGGGGAAATTTGGGGTTGGAGCCCCACACAGAGTCCCAACTAAGGCATGGCCTAGTGGATCTGTGAGAAGAGGGCCACCATCCTCCAGACCCCAGAGTGGTAGATACACAACAGCTTGCACCATGCAGCTGGAAAACTACAGCCACTCAACACCAGCCAGCAAAAGCAGCCTCATAGGCTATACCCTGCAGAGCCACATGGGCAGAGCTTCCAAAGGCCATGAGAGCCCAGCACTTACATCAGTATGCCCTGGATGTGAGATGTGGAGTCCAAAGGGATCTTGGAGCTTTAAAATTTAATAATGGGCCTGGCCAGGTATTGGACTTACATGGGGCCTGTGGCCCCTTTGTTTTGGTCAATTTCCCCCATTTGGAATGGGGACATTTACTCAGTGCATGTAACCTCATTGTATCTTGGAAGTAACTAACTTTTTTTGATTTTACAGGCTCATAGACAGAAATGACTTGCCTTATCTCAGAGAGAGTTTAGACTTGAATTTTTGAGTTAATGCTAGAATAAATGAAGACTGGGAGACTGTTGGGAAGGCATGACTGTGTTTTGAAGTGTGAGAAGGATATGAGATTTGGAGGAGGACAGGGGAGGAATTACATGATTTGGCTATGTGTTCCCCCCCAAATCTCATGTCAAATTGTAATTCTCAATATTGAGGGAGAAATCTGGTGAGAGATGATTGGATCATGGGGACAGATTCCTGCTTTTCTCATGATAATGAGAGTGTTCTCATGAGATGTGGTTGTTTAAAATGTATCATCTCCCTTTCACTCTCTCTCTCACTCCACCATGGTAAGACATGCTTGCTTCCCCTTCTTCCATGATTGTAAGTTTCCTGAGGCCTCCCCAACCATGCTTCTCGTATAGCCTGTGGAACTGTGAGTCAATTAAACCCCTTTTCTTCATAAATTACCCAGTTTCATGTAGTTCTTTAACACAGGGTGAGAATGGACTAATATACTCCCCAAAAGTAGGTGTGCTATTGGTGATTGGACTTGAATGTTCTAGTCAGTAAACATTGATGGCATCTGAAGGGATTGTTAGCACCTTAGTAAAGCAGCCACAGAGTCATATGCCTGCTTTTTAAAGTGGTATTGAGACAACTTTCTTTGCTTTTTTATTTATGAAAGAATTTCAAATGTTTTCATACCCAGATGCTTGAAAAATTTACTATTGATTTAGATATTGACCATTTAGTAAAATTATTTTATTTCATGTATAACAATGAGTTTGTAGAACTATACTTACATTTTCCAACCTTGGAGGATCTATCTTTGGATAGTTTTATAAACACATGTGGTTTTGAAAATAAAATGTTAAGCTACAAGTTTAATTATATCTTTGTTAATGAGCAGTGAAATGAGCTCTGATATCAAGGAGAATTATGATTAACTTATTGATATGCCAAATGGCTTTTAAGATTGCTAATGGTTTGTGTTGTGTATTTACAAACCAAGTATATGCATTGGATAAAGGCTAAATCATCGGAAATTGCCTTCTATAAAAAAAATCAGCATTTAAAGGTATAGCTATTATATTTTATTTATTTATTTTGGAGGAATAGACCCTTAAAGAAATATGTATATGCATATGTGTATAACAGAAAAGAAAGTTGAAGTATAAACATAGCTGTATATTTAGTATGAATGGTCACTTGATTTATAAATTAGAATTAATATGAAGGAAACCAAGATAGTTTACCTCATAGAAGCTATTTGATTAAATATTTCACTTGTGAGTGACAATCACATTGAATTCTCACCATTTAAGTAAAAGGATATAGGTTGTTTCTCAGTTATTTAGAAAATTGTTAATGGCACAAGGTTATAGTTCTAATTGCATGAAACAATATAGTTCTGCATGAAAAAACCTTAACATCAACAACAACAAAGCTGTTCTACCAACACAAATCACACCATTAAGTGCGGCCAGCCATCCCAGGAAAGCAAGTCAATGATCCCAATGGGATGGGTGGAACATATTTTCTCTCCTGGAAGAACAATTAAATATACATTTCCAGCTGTTGACATTTCAGCAGTGGCATCTTAATTTGGGAAGATATCTTTGAAACAGAGGTAGCTAAGGAGAAATAGTCTCTAATGAAACAGCAGGCACAGAAGCTAAATTGAACATAACAGAGAGGCATAAAGGGTCATAACCGCCCACCATTTAAGAACCTCAATTCTTAAGGCTGTGTGATAGTTTTGGACTTCTGACCATTCCCAGAGCTTTCTTGACTCTCAGCTTCCTTTTAGAATTCAGTTGCTTGAGTTCAGCCTTGCTGTTGTATCAAGCATACTAAATAAGGTTACTAAGAAATGCTAATGTGTTTATTTGTAATAAGTAGGTATACTAGTAAATTTCATAACAAGCTGTTTCACTAGGTATCAACTTCTTTTCTAAGGTTATTTTTTATTAGTCCATCCAGAACTATTCTCTGACCTTGATTTATACCTGAAAGACTGGCTCATATAAAATGTGTCATTCAGGCTTCCTTTCCAACTAGTTTCCTTTGGATATGGCAAATGGGTGACACAGGACATTAAAGGACAAAGGAGGGTCAGGTTTTAGAATTTCTTCCCTTCTCTCTGTGCTCTGAGACACAAAAGACAAATCACACCATGCAGACACTGTCTTTCCTATCCAAGTAGAGTTCAAAGATCGGATCCAGAAGGTAAGTTGCCAAATTTCCATTCTTCCCTAACTGGTTGATCTAACTCTAGGCTCATTCTCCTCTTGGTCTTTTCTCAAAGTTTCAAGATATATCCATTTATATTATTTTTTCCCTTGCTATACTTACATAATCATTATTTTTAAATTATTTCAGTAAATTTTGCATTGAATAATTCACATATAAAAAATTGCACAAATCACAAGTGTTCATAGAGATGAATTTTCACAATTCATAGAGAACACATCTATGAATCTAGCATCCAGAGCAAGAAACAGAAAGATGTCATCTAGCATCCTAGAGGCCTTGGTGTGCTCCCACCATGTCACTACCCTTTAGGGTACAAAGCATCCTGGCTTTTCTCATCAGAGATTGGTTTTGTTATTTTTGACTGTATCTAACAGAATTGTACAGTATATATTCTTCGTATTGTTTTTTCCATTTACGCTTTTTTTTTTAGACGGAGTCTCACTGTGTCACCCAGGCTTGAGTGCAGTGGCGCTATCTCGGCTCACTGCAAGCTCCACCTCGTGGGTTCATGCCATTCTCCTGCCTCAGCCTCCCGAGTAGCTGGGACTACAGGTGCCCGCACCATGCCTGGCTAATTTTTTGTATTTTTAGTAGAGATGGGGTTTCACCATGTTAGTCAGGCTGGTCTCGAACTCCTGACCTCGTGATCCGCCCACCTCGGCCTCCCAAAGTGCTGGGATTACAGGTGTGAGCCACGGCGCCTGGCTCCACTTATTCTTATATCTCCAAGAGTCATCCATTCCTTCACCTTCTCCTACTATTCTTGTTTAAAAAAAAAAAAAAGCAGATTGTTAAACAATTTGAATTTTCTTGTCTCTGCTGGATAGTCACAGGCCTATCATACTTTTACTGGTTAAAGACCTCTCTAAAACTTCCAGTGAGTCACTTGCAGACACAGATATCCATTCTGCTTTCTTTCAAAGCATTATATCCAAACTATGAATCTTAGCTGATCATTGTCATTATTATGCCATTTACAGGATGTGTTAAAAACTCCATGACACAAATTTTGTATCTCTACTCCTCACCAACTCCACCCCAAAATATGGCATTTTACTATGTTTTACCAGACACAAAAAATGCATTTTAATGCCTGGTCAAATCCAGAAGAAGTTGTCTACCTTATCTATTATTTTCCACTGTGTTTCAATCTGGAATCCTAATGTGGTAGTGTGCCTGGAGCTTCTTACCATTTCTGTCCTACTGCACATCTTTACTCCCTTTCAAAAAACAATATTTTACACAAATCTTCAGTATGTAAACCACTCTCCCTTGTTCCCTTCCATGATAAGCTCTGGATTTCTTATTGAACTATTCACTGCTGATCTTTCCACTAACCTGGAGGCTTGGGGATGTTACAATGTTAGCTTTTACCTCATCTCTCTCCACCATTACTGCTTATGTGATCTTTAGGCCCATTTCTTTCTGCCAGTTTCAACATCACGGTAGTGCTTTTCTAGTTCAAGCCAGATATTTATACTGCTGTAGGCAGACATAGGACTCAAGTTAAAATTTTCCACACCCAAGTCTTCACTCTTCTTGTAATTCCTTCATTTTGCTTTTAAAGCCTGGAGTGGCATGTGGCTACAGTTTATTATAAGAAAGCAAGCTTTCCCATTAGTAGATCATAAATACATATAAAGCGTTGTCATGATCCAAAATATTAGTTACAAAGTCATTTATGAGGCATTTCAAAGTTCACCTCAAACCAGCATTTAGATTTTCCCTTATTTTTTCAGCATCCTCCACTTTTCCCCATTATTCCCATATAATCTCTATATCTCTTTCTGCCCTCAGTAAACCTCCAATAGTTGTAGAAATAACTTGGTGTTGTAATCAGCTATTGCAGGTTCCATTTTCCTTCCAAGGTCCATCCTTGAAAAGAATGATCAGCTTCCTGATTTGAATGCTGAATAAGACACTTTCAGATATTCAGAGAGAATAAGATAAAGCCAGATATCTCCTTTGCTAATTTAAACTGCCTCATGTCCTAACACTCTTGAATGTTATGCTAACAAAGTTTCTGCTGCTTTATTCAGTATAACAGAGAATAGAAGAAAGAAATGAAGTGCCATCCTGCCATTTCTGCAGGCATGAAGTAAGAGAGATGCCTCAAAAACATGTGATTTATTTAATTGCAATAACCTACAAATCAAATTTTCAGAATAAAAAATTTAAGACCATTTTTTCTTAATGTTTTACATGTGGCAATGTGGAGGTCAGTTATGAAATAAGAGGTGGTAAAACTAGGTGAATTATTTAAGCATTAATATGAGGAGGATATAAACTATTAAAAATCAGCAACAGCCAAAAGGAGTTACAGCCATACACACTTATTCAGTAATATTGTCAATAACATATCTGCTCTGCTGTCCATACAGACAAAGTAACAGATAAGAACAGGAACACACAGGATAAACTAAAATGTTATAAATAAGGTTTTGTAGTATATGAATTATGTAATTCATAGAGGAATTGTGGTCAAAACGTGAGGAATTGTGAAGAGCAGTTTATAGTCAAGTTGTAGAAGGAATAAGGACTAGCACATAGAGTAAATGGAAAGAAGAAATTGTAGAGTCAGTTGCAATAAAAATACCAGTGAAGTATGTGAGTGTATTTGAAAAGGTGTTTGTGTTAATTTCAATGTTTCATGCTTCAACATATGTAAAGGCAATGAGCAATAATTTATAATAACATGAATACATATGATATTTTATAAGACATTTGCTCAAAACAAACACAGGAATTATGAAATGCTCATTAAGATAAAATAACCTTGTGTATTATGAAGATATTTTTATATATAATTTGCAAATCCACCTAATAAAAGTCAGGAAATACCTGGATGTGTTTAATTCTCTCTCAAGCATTCTTTTATTCTTTTAAAATCTATTTTCTAAAATGTGTATTTTAGAATCCCAAAAGGTTATGCAAATATAATTTGAAAATTACTTGTGAATAAAAACGCAAGGAAAAACTGTTCCTTCCTATTTGAATTTAAAATTTAAAAGAAAAGTGGCAAAGTAAATTCTGAGAACCCTTTTTTCCTACTTCGATAAGGTGGTTGGAAGGCCTTTAGCCAGCAAGATAAAGGAGCATATGCAGGATGGTTTTCCAATTTGCATACACAAAAATTAAGCTATGATAATAGAGAACACAGAGAATTATAAATTGTGTTAAATTTTGTTAATCAATTTAATACTTAGTTGGCCAGAACCTTCATTTGGACCCCATTATTACCTTAAAGAATATGTAACAGTTTTCTAAAGATCTGCATTTTTCAAATAGTACTGAGTAAAACAAAGAAATAAATCCCTACCACTTTTAAGATAAAAGGCACTGAACACTGAAAGCAGCTCTTACTTTTTCAAATCTGATAAAACAGAGATAAAAATGAGGTCAAATTAGGGTACTGACACAACCACAAAATCAGACTGTATGCATACATAAGCAATCTAAGAGGCAGCATCTTAGGCAAGCAGATGGAAGTCAGTTATATTATTATCATTTACAAAATGAGCAAGAAGAGCCAATCCACAGGGCACCAAAACTCAAATATCTATGACTGTGGCCAAAATTAAAATGGATATTCAGATATCAATAACAGCCATAGATTTTGCTTCTGTCTTATAACTAATGAATTTTAGTGTGCATTTGTGACTGGCCTTACCTGAAGGCATCTTAAGACATTGCTTGGCTTCTGACAGTGATCAACAAAGATGGTAACCACAGGTACAACTCAGTTTTCAAGCCAGTACATTTAACTTTATCCAAAGAGAAAAAAAGAATTGTCCTCAAAATCATGTTTTTTATTATATCCCAGGCAATCCTGGCTCTGTTAAATCTTAGAATTTTCATAACTAAATTATGTTTTCCTCAATTTCTTTAGTTTGAATCCCATCTACAAAGAAAATTACTCCAAACTTAATAAACAGCAATTCAGAAAAAAAATTGTATTTTGCTAATCTAATGAAAATGCGTATTGAGCTCAGTAGTATTACAATTAGAAATTCAAAACTATGGAGATGGCTTTTTGTATAAATTAACACTCTGATCCTAAAATTCATATGGAAATAGAAGGGGCCCAGAATTGACAAAACCATCCTGCACAAGAACAAAGTTGAAAGACTCAATTCACAATTTCGAAATTTACTATAAAGCTATAGTAATCAAGACAGTGTAATAAACATAGATCCACGTAATTGAATATTTATGGTCAATGAATTATTAACAAAGGTTCCAAGAAAATTCAAAAGTAAAGCAATAGTCTTTTTTACAACAATGGTAGCAGGAAAAGTATATAATCACATGCAAAAGAATGAAATTGAATACCTTCCTCACATAACACACAAAAAAATTAACTCGATATGTATTATAGATCTAAATGGAAGTGCTAAAGCTATAAGATCTGTAGAAAAAAATATAGAAGTATTTTAATTGTCTATTGGGTTAGAAAAATCATTATAGAGATAAAACCAAAACCACAAATGAAAACAGAAAAAAATAGAAAAATTGGACTTCATAAAAAATACAACTGTGTTCCTTAAAGCAAATGTTCAAGATACATTCAGGTAAAAAGTCAACTCATAAATTTAAGAAAAACATTTCAATATAATCTATCTGATAAGAGAATGGTACTTATATAAAAATTTCTTACAACTTTATAATACAAATAATTTAGTTTCATTAAGGGTACTAGAATAAGTGGGAAAGTAGAAAAGAGAATAAAATGCTTAAAATTGGATTTTGAAATCATTGCAATTAATGATGATAACAAAGTTCAGGATGGATCCAGTAAGTGAGTGAGGGATGTAGAATGGAGTGAAAGGTTGTTAATGCTCAGGGGTAAATAAGCAAGATTCTAAGAGATTCATCCATGTGTGTGGTCAACATATAAGGATGTGGGTGGTGAGTAATGCAGTGAGCCAGGAGTCAAATTTTTCAGTGAATAAGTGGGAATGGCTGTGAGGTTACTTGATGTAAGCAATAATAATTTCAAAAGAATGCAAGAAATGATAAGGCAGTACCAATATGTAAGCAATATCATATAAAAGTTAAGAACCTGAGTTTAAATCACTGCTTTGTCATTACTTGATTGGGTAGTCTATGACAAGTGTAGTCTATAACAAGTTACTCAATGTCACTAAACCTCCATTTATTCATCTATAAAACTGAGAAGACTAACACTTACTTCATAAAGTTATTATGAAAATTAAATAAAATAATGAATATGAAGTACCTGGCATATATTTAGTTCTCAGGACATGTGAGCTACTTATTGATTAACGTATGACTAATGTATGGGTCTAAATCATTTTTACAATAGAAATTCCTGAAACTAGCTCAGGCAGAAAAGAAAACTAATTCAAAGACTCTGAGTATTGGATATTTTTGGGGGGTCAGACCAGCCCCTGAATTGACTTTATATCTGGCAGTCTGCCACAGTGTGATTCTTGGTGGGAGGTGAGATTCACCTACATATCAGAAACCTAAGAGCAAACATTTGCTTATGTCAAGTCTTAGGAACCAGCGTGAATATACATATCCCGTGTCAGACAATCAGACACTCTCATCTGGGACTTTAATCTGGAATACTCGAGGCAAAGAAATAGATGGTTGAAAATTCCTTCTAGTGGCAACAGCAGTGACATCAGGTGGTGGAGGTGTTAGAGATGACATCCAATGTCCAGATCCATCTTCAGACTATTTCTGTGGTTTGGTTAGGTTTTTCTTGATATTTTGCTATTTGCAAGCCTGGTTTCCCAGAGTAAGGAATCTGAATGCCACCAATCTCCCTCTTTAGAAGATACCCTTCACTATCTTGGCTTCATTCTTTCATACTGTCTACACATGGCAGAAAATGTAACCAGTATCAATGTTCAGCCTTCATATCTCCAAGTTTGTCACTGGGAAGGCATTAAGATTTCCTTTCTTTTTTTTGTATTAGCATAGAAGAAATTCTTGAGAAATCAATTAAAAGTATTTTTTCATTTGCCTCCCCACCTCCTTTTATTCTTGTATTCTTTGGTTGTAAATACAAAACTGGAGAAATATTATAGTTGTCTCAGTGTGTGGCTGTGTTTATTCTTTGAGATTAAATTAACTGTAGCCATCACAATGAATAATACAATTGACCTATATCATAACAAGTGCTGAATCTCAGACCAATCAATGCAAAGCCAAGGATGCAGAATCCCTCTAAAAGAAAGGGTTCTACTAGAATGAACATGTTTAGGATGGGGAAAGAGGCATCACCTAGAAGATGACAAAAAAACACATTTTTAAAATATAGGAAAAAGTATAATAGGCAATTTAGGAATACTCGCTACAATTTATAAACATATATGAGAGCAAGACAATAATGTCTGAGATATTACTGTGTAAATAGAGAATAATTTAATAATTTTTATCAAAAACATATATTCTATACAATGTTTGGGAATCTCACTTGATAAGGCATCAAATAAATGATAGAAAAGACAGGAATGAGGAAAGGCTATTGGGAAGGAAGTTATTTTGATGGTTCAGGTATGAGGGCCTGAACTAATGCAAAGTCAATAAGAATGTAAAGAAAGTGCTAAATTAAAGAGTTATTTTTAAGGAAGAATCAATAAAACTTGATGGCTGATTGATTCATGTTGGTGAAGGTGATTTCAAAGCTGATATCAACCATACTTGTAATACTGACAAAAATCTCTAAAAGAAATAGTGAATTTCTGTGTATGTGTATGTGTGTTTGAGAGGTTCATCTGATGGAAGTTAAGGAGGCAAATGAAAAAATACTTTTAATGGATTTCTCAAGAATTTTTTCTGTGCTAATACAAATATTTTTCATTTTGTTTTGTATTTATACTTCAAGAATACATACATAAAATATCAATGAGTAAATGAATATATAAATATATGGCAACATTTCTATTTTACTGAGAGACTTTTCTATGACACATAAAGTGAATGTAGCCCATAATTTGAGAAATGTTGCCTAATGCAAAATATATTTGAAATAGTGCTCATTCTTCTACTGAGAAAGCTGCTACCTGAAAGCAAATTAGGCACTTTTCCATGTTACATCAAACAACAATTTAAGGCCACGGGAGTAGTCATGCTTCTGATTCTAAATGTATTCTCACCTTCCGTATGAATTCATTCAGCTTTCAAAAGCAGCTGACACGTTGAAAATGTTGTATTTACTGCAAAAATTAGTCTCTGGTTATATCTCCATTCTTTTGACCTATGCAAGATTAACTTCTTGATATGCTTATTAGCACATTTTAGAAATCGGAGACATCTGGGGAAAACTTTACCTTTTCTAGTTGCAACACATAGATATATAAACTACTTTATTTGTTTGTTCCCCTCTAGGGAAATATATCTAAAATGGCTGTAAACCTTCTCAGATAGATTTTGGCTTAACAAATAATGGTTTTGTAATTGTTTTTAGAATCATTTAGCAAAAATAAATTTGTGGGTAATGTCTCCAGTGAACCAGACTCAATGACTTGCTTCCAGGTAATAGAGTACAGAAAGATAAAAATGGAAACTACACGGTGGAGATACCTGGCAAATACTACCATAACTGAGTTCAACATTACCAGTAATAAGTTATGTTAATATTTCTGTGCAGTCTAAATTGATGAGAAGACACTTCACCTCAGTGTCATTCTACTCCAAAATTCATAAACCCATAGTTTGGGAATTATGAATTGAAAAATATGTATCCCAAACTGAGGTATATTCTACCAAGTACTTGATCAGTAACCTTCAAAAGTGCCAAGATCATGAGAAACAAGGACAAACTGAAAAAGTCACAGCCTGGAAACACTAAAGAGACAGGATGACCAAACACAACATGGCATTTTGCATTGAAGCCTGGAACAAAAAAGGACATTAGTGGAAAAACTTGTGAAATGTGAACACAGTTTATACATTAATTAATAATATTTTAGTGATTTTCATTTCTTAGTTTTGGCAAGTATATAATGATTACAAAAGATAGTAGCGTTAAAGGAAGCTGGGTGAAAGATACGCAGGAATTCTCTGCACTCTTTGCATCTTATGTAAACCTAGAGTTTAAAAATAAGTTTTTTAAAAATATTAAAATTATTTAAAATTATTTTTATATTCTGTTCATACTGAAATGTGAATGAATACATGATTATATCTGTGTATATAGCCTCTTCCAATTCAATTTTCATTTTCCAAAAAATGTGGTAACTTCCTTCAGGGCAGAATTTCATATAATCAATCCACATATGACTGTTTTAACTACATGGAGTTCTTTATGGCAGGAACGCATTAAAGATGAAGAAACTATGGAGAAGAGTTCGAGACTTTCTCAAAGTGACAGTTATCAACAGAGACAGAACCAGAATCCAATTTTCTAGTTTACTGAATGGCATTATTTCCTTTTATGGACTCAAATAATTAAGTAGCTTTGCCTCATGTGTTTCTGTTAGTCTATACTTGATCTAGTTTTGCAAAATCTCCAAATTTGGACTTTTAACTTTTTATATAGTGTTTCTCAAGCTGTAATTCATGTACCCCTGGAGATTACAAACATGTCATTGGAGTCTATAAGTATTTGTGTTTGAAAAAATGATGGTTAAAAACTAGATGTTATAATAGAATATATTGAGCTAGGATTATTATTAATTGAATTCAGCTGCTAATGGATAAAGCTTAAATGCAACTAGGATTCTGACAGATCTTTTGCAGATCATTTCTAAAAATACTTTCTGGAAATAAAAATGAGGAAAAGAACCAGTATTGTTGATGTTTGATGGCAACTGTAGAAATGTAGGCATGACATAAGATATCATACATTGCTTAATCAGTAAGAGTAACCAAATATAATTTTAATATATTAATGCAGACACAGTATAGCAGACCATTAAGAGCCTGCTTGATATTCGTTTCTCTTTCAACCTTACTATCAGAGACTAGTTTTGTTCAGGTGTCTACCTCTCCCTCATGTAACTTAAGAAAAGGTGACACCCACTACCCAGTTCATTGGCTAAGTGCTTAATAATTCAAATATGTTATGGTGGTTCTATTGCCCAACTAAGTTTATGTACAGTCTAAATGGGAAAACCTGAAAGTTTTTACATTGAGAATAATGAATGAAAGCAGAAGTTTATGAATACTTATGAGGTTAACACTTTGCTGACTTTTGAGACAAGAGAGGAAATCTGCTAGAATACTCACTGGAAAGTTGTCCTCTTTTCTATGAAGATATCTGAAAGGATGATCCCTGTACCTAGTTCTGGCCAGTAGCTCTATAGATGTGCTGCCTAGAACTGCCATAACAAACTTGTCATCTGTCTGAGGTAGAAAAGGCAGAAAGTAGCATTACCTTGTGAACTAAAAGTCAACTTTCTTTTTCTTTTTTTTTTTTTTTTCTACAATGAACTCAAACAAATTTACAAGAAAAAAACAAACAACCCCATCAAAAAGTGGGCGAAGGACATGAACAGACACTTCTCAAAAGAAGACATTTATGCAGCCAAAAAACACATGAAGAAATGCTCATCGTCACTGGCCATCAGAGAAATGCAAATCAAAACCACTATGAGATATCATCTCACACCAGTTAGAATGGCAATCATTAAAAAGTCAGGAAACAACAGGTGCTGGAGAGGATGTGGAGAAATAGGAACACTTTTACACTGTTGGTGGGACTGTAAACTAGTTCAACCATTGTGGAAGTCAGTGTGGCGATTCCTCAGGGATCTAGAACTAGAAATACCATTTGACCCAGCCATCCCATTACTGGGTATATACCCAAAGGACTATAAATCATGCTGCTATAAAGACACATGCACACGTATGTTTATTGCGGCACTATTCACAATAGCAAAGACTTGGAACCAACCCAAATGTCCAACAATGATAGACTGGATTAAGAAAATGTGGCACATATACACCATGGAATACTATGCAGCCATAAAAAATGATGAGTTCATGTCCTTTGTAGGGACATGGATGAAATTGGAAACCATCATTCTCAGTAAACTATCGCAAGAACAAAAAACCAAACACCGCATATTCTCACTCATAGGTGGGAATTGAACAATGAGATCACATGGACACAGGAAGGGGAATATCACACTCTGGGGACTGTGGTGGGGTCGGGGGAGGGGGGAGGGATAGCATTTGGAGATATACCTAATGCTAGATGACATGTTAGTGGGTGCAGCGCACCAGCATGGCACATGTATACATATGTAACTAACCTGCACAATGTGCACATGTACCCTAAAACTTAGAGTATAATAAAAAAAAAAAAAACATTAAAAAAAAAAAAATAAAAGTCAACTTTCTATCAGTCTTTACTGTTACAAAGATATTATGATGGAACAACTTAGCTCATTCAGGCAAAAATGAACTACTGAACACACTGATTGGCCTGCATTGCTTACTTAAAGTGGACCTATTTTTTTTGTTGCATAGAAATTAACAACTAAGTCAAGAATTAGGGCATTGTTTAGCCCTATATTCTTCACAAACTAAAGTGAGAACAGAAATAATGAATTGGATGCATTGTTATGAAATTATCTAATTAATTGCTTCAAAGGGTGACTTTGTTCTAAAACAGGAATCTGCCGAAGGCTTTCTGCTTTTGTTTAGGGTTGTTTGGAGGATTAAATATTGTACAAAATACCCAGAACACAGCTTGGTGTATTAGTCCAGTTTCAGGCTGCTGATAAAGACATACCTGAGACTGGGAAGGAAAAGAGGTTAATGGACTTACAGCTGACATGGCTGGGGAGGCCTCACAATGGCATAAGGCAAGGAGGAGCAAGTCATATCTTACATAGATGGTGGCAGGAAAGAGAGAGCTTGTGCAGGGAAACTCCCCTTTTTAAAGTCATCAGATCTCATGAGACTTACTAGCTATCAGGAGAACAGCACGGGAAAGACCAACTCCCGAGTCAATTATTTCCCACTGGGTCCCTCCCACAATATGTGGGAATTATGGGAGCTACAAGATCAGATTTGTGTGGGGACACAGAGCCAAACCATATCACTTGGCATATATTATTTGCAGAATATATAGTTCAGCTTATTTCTACCTATTCTTTGAATATGATGTACTCATCAATCCCATTCATGTCATTTCCTTCAGAAGGAATATTCAGAAGAGATATCTTTTAAACTACTGATAGAAAACAGTTCATTACATGGTTCTTGTTGATGCTGCTGTAATCAACAAATACATTTTGCATTTTATGTATTATAGCAAGAATTGCATAATAAAGAATTAAGGAGTTACAAATAAACATTCCTACAAACCAAAGTAAATACTTAGAAAATGGTAAGGTTTTCAATTCCTGAGCAAGAATAATTATTTGCCTAACCATTGTTATTAACAGAAGTTGTATACTGAATTCTTGATTCAGTGATCTGAAAATAATTTCTACACTCTGAATCTGATAAATTGATAGTACCAATTATCGTATGTCTTGAAAAGTATCTCTTTGGGTGGTAAGAAGATGTAAATTGGGTGAGGAACATGAGAAAAGCAATTAATTTTCTCAACTTTATCAGTATGTATCTGCATACATACAGGCCACAGTATATTTAAATAAACCATTAGTTTTCTAAATCCCATTTTCTTTAAAATTGCACTTTTTTTTCTCTTGGAAAGAAAATATTGCTGTGATGATCAGTCTAGTTCTTCAGGGAAGAATCCATAGATTGCAAAATATCTCATGTATATATATATAGAGAGAGAGAGGCCATCTACTGGGTCATTTTTTTTTAATAAACAGAAATTGTCATTACCTTAGGCAAAATAAAAATTTGTTGCAAGCCTATGATACTTTCTTAGAATCAATGGGAAAGTTAGAGAAAAGCCTTATATATACACGCAGGAGCAAAGATGATTCCAAACACCTGTGAAACAGAAACTACAGAATGGTTCTATCTGCAAGAATATTTTTGCCAGGGAACCATTACTCATTCAAATAAACTCCAACTTTTTCTTTCATTCACTCTCCTTTCTAAGAAAGCCAGATGTCAAGCACCAAGTATTTGCAGTTTACTCTGGTAAAGGCTGTGCAATATACAGAGAATTATTATAAGACATAGCCCTTGCTTTAGAAAAGCTTACAGTCTAATGAAGGAGAGCATTCTGACAGAGAAGATAGAGTAGTTTTATATCCACATTGGTCGAATAGCAGCTGAAACTATTAAACCCACAATCTGGCACCAATTTGCCTTTTTAAATATATCTCTTTCCACTACCCCCCAAAGAAAACCTGCGTACAAACTCTACTCTTCCCTCAATATACGTTTTCCTTTGGTATCTCTACTTTTAATTCTCCAGCTGAAATTCTCTCCCTTCCATCTTTACATATTGAAGTTCTAACTAACTATTTATACCATCCTCAAATCTAGCTACTTCCATTAAGGAATCTGGTCCAAAGTCTTCAGTAGTTGCTTCCTTTAATAAATGAGGGCTAACCTATGTTGTATATGCTATGCTTTTGGCATTGATGCTGTACTAATCTACACTGCAATTATCTTTCTTTGCTTGTGGACTTAATGCATTTCCCTTCAACTGAATTGCACTCTGTGGGAAGGCAGAGTCATATTTGACTTCTTTTTTGCCCCCTTTCTCTCTGCTCTATAGCCCCGTTGTCATCACCTTGCCACATACACCCCAGTCCCAGCTATCCATTGCATGATACCATAATGCTTTGTCATTAACTAGTATGTCTTTTATGCATATATATAATTTGATTCATAGGCATTGGTATTGATAAGGATGGTGACCATTCAGCCAAATAACTCCAACTGCCATAAAATATATTTATTTAAGGTGTCATTTTTCCTGACTTTTTTTGACCTCTCCTCTCAGTAATGATATCAAATGGATAAATGGTACAAGCCTAATTTTTCCTTCCTTTCTTACCTGATCCAGAGCACTGGTAATTGAAATATCCTTAAACATCCTGTAACGTTGCCTTAAGTCTTATTTTCTCTACTTCATAAATGTCCAAGTAACTTTCTGGCTTATATCTCCCAACATGCTACTGTTCCAGTGTCTTTACACGTTAAATGAGAAATATGTTAATGTGAGTAATGCAATTATTCCTTATTTTTCTGGTGTAGTATTCTGCTTGCCTCATGAAGGCAGGCATAACAAGTTAGAATATTTTAGCCTAGCCAACCCATATGTTCAGGCAATTGCCCAATGGCTTCTTTCCCCGCCTCAGGTAACATTTAATTGCTGAGAAACTACAGTGGCAGTTTATGACTAGTGCTTTGCATATCTGTACAAGATTGTTTTCAGTGCTGAAAATTCCCTTAATTTATAATTATTTTTTCACTTGAAATGTTTTATTAAAATAATCATTTCTTCTCTTCTTTGCTCTTTGGATAATTTTTTTGGTTAGAGTTTGTGTATTTAGAATTATTTCTAATAGATTAATTATAGGATATTTAGATAATTATTAAACTACTAACCTATTGAATTTGTCTGTATCTTATATAAGGAGTTTCTATTACAGCATCTCAAATAGACTCCATGAAGAAGCATAGTTTTATATTTAGTTCACTTGCTTCTTTTCTTAAGGGACAAAAACAGTTTATATTTTTATTCTTACAATTAGCCTACTAACTCCATTTATTGACCATGTACATTTTCTATTAAATAATTTATTTTTATATTTTATATTTCATCTTTTTTGGCGGGGATAGAGACTTGCTCTGTTGCACAGGCTGGACTAGACTGCAATGGCACAATCTTGGCTCACTGCAATCTCTGCCTTCTGGGTTCAAGCGATTCTCCTGACTCAGCCTCCCAAGTAGCTGGGATTACAGGCATGCCCCACCATGCCCAGCTAATTTTTGTATTTTTTAGTAGAGATGGGGCTTCTCTATGTTGCCCAGGCTGGTCTCCAACTCCTGACCTCCCTCCTGGGACTCCCAAAGTGCAAAGATTACAGGTGTGAGCCACTGCGCCCAGACTGTGTTTCTTTTTTTTGTCTTCTGTCTTCACTGTTAGTGTGCACTTACAGAGAGAAGGCTTACATATGAACTGGAATACATTCAAAAAGATTTTACATACTTTTTTCAAATTAGGTAACAAATATGAAGTCTAAGGAGAATATGAACATATTCATGGAAAACACAGATTAGTCTTATTTTTTTCATCTTTAGATAATATTTTTGTGATGGTTAATATTGAGTGTCAACTTGATTGGATTGGAGGATGCAAAGTATTATTCCCAGGTGCGTCTGTGAGGGTGAGGCCAAAGGGGATTAACATTTGAGTCAGTGGACTGGGAGAGGCAGACCTACCCTCAATCTGGGTGGGCACCATCCAATCAGTTGCCAGCCCAGCTAGAATAAGTGCAGACAGAAGAACATGGAAAGACCAGACTGGCTGAGTCTTCTGGACTTTATCTTTCTTCTGTGCTGGATGCTTCCTGCCCTCAAATATCAGACTCCAAGTTCTTCAGCTTTTAGATTCTTGGACTTACACCAGTGGTTTTCCAGGGGCTCTCTGGCCTTCAGCCAAAGACTGAAGGCTGCACTGTTGGCTTCCCTACTTTTGAGGTTTTGAGACTCAGATTGGCTTCCTTGCTCCTCAGCTTGCAGATGGCCTATTGTGGGACTTCACGTTGTGATCCTGTGAATAAATATTCTTTAATAAACTCACTTTCATATATATATATTATATATACACACATACACACACACATATATACACACACACATATATATCATATGTGTGTGTGTATATATATATATCTCATATGTATATGTGTGTGTGTGTATATATATATATTTACATATACATATGTATATCTCCTATTAGTCCTGTGCCTTTAGGGAAACCTGACTAGTACACTTTTTATACACAAGTCATATGAAGGTTGGAAAGAATGCTTTTTTATGTGCATATTTCTTAGTAAATGGATGCAAACTTTCTCATGACCTTTCTCAGTAGAAAATGCTCGTATGTTTAGATTTTCTCAATTCTATACTTGTTCTGGAAGTAAGGAAATTTACGTAGAGGATGTTAAGCAAAAGTTGACATTTAAAAAAAATCTTCTGGGTGTGATCTATTGAGCTAATTCATAAACTCCTGAAAAACAGACAACTAAGATATTTGAGTCTTTGGAATGGAGAACTAGAAAATGTCTCCTGACATACTTAGGTTCTCTGATATCAAAACTTTAATTTCTTTTCATACCATTGATTTTTACGTTGCTGTCATAGATTCTGCAGTAACCTGATAAACATATAAGTATTGAAATTGTTTGATTTTTAATATCACAAAAATTGTAATTCTTTCAACAAATACGTTATAAATAGAAAAAACTTGTCCAATCATAAAAGTGTCTGACTATTTAAAAGAATGAAACAATAACAATAACAAAAAAATGATACCACAGGCTTCCAGACAATAAGATTTGAAATTGTAATTGAATATGCACATTTATTTTGCAGATATATTGCAGATCACTCTGCATTCAATAATACATAACTGCAAACAGTAAAATCATATTATAATTGAGTTAAAGAGGTTGATTTCAGACTCATTCCAGTGGGATTCTAGTTTAATAATAATGACCTGCATTGTAAAACAATTTACCAACACACATAATAAATAAGATATTTGTGATCATAACAGGCAAGATTAAATTAACTTTAAAAAGATTTTTAAGTGACCCTATTCAATACTAGATGAATTATAAATTAAATCTATTTTATTGTACTTATTATAAGTATTTTATTTCAATTACTTTAGATAAATTATAAGTACATTTTATTATTTGTATTATATAATTGTGAATATACTTTAGTTGCATACTTTTACTAAATATAAGAAATACTGATATCCAAAAGGTAAACAAAAAGTTGGACAGGACTTTTGAAATAAAAGGGGTAACTAAGCTCCTATATTCACTGATTCTTCTTCCTGTAATCTCATTAAAATTAAAAAGATACTAGAAAAATAACCTCACAGCTTTTCTAGAATGCTCCACCACAAAAAATTTTTAAGACTGACTTGAAATTGTGACAATTTTAGAAGATATAAAGTGGAAGTGATCATAGGGTGAAATGAAATAGAACTAGGGAATTCATAACCTCATTATCAAAGAAGAGAGTTTCAAAATGTGAATAGTCCTTAAACATCTATTTAATAAAACTATAGTTATCAGTATTAGTGATGGCAGAAGGAGGTGGTCTCAAGCAGGCGGCCAGGGAATTAGAATATTTTTTGAAAGGTTATAGAACAGAGATGCTGTATCCGGCATTTGCCTATAGCACAAAACAACAAATGAAACATTTAAGCCATAGATGCATAAATTTTACGCTACATAGAGCTGAGTGGTATGTGAACAGATAAACGTAGGTATTTACGTGGTTAGTTCTCTTTTGCTCTCTCTATCAAACTCTGGTCCAAGGAGTCTGAAAGACATTATCCCCACTAGGAGACACTTCAACAATGGCTGCAAGAAGGTAAAGTTAACACCCAAAGACCAGACAAAATAAAGAACAAATCAACATCTACTATCACTATATAGACAAATTATCGTGGGAGGGGAAACCCAGAAATATAAGCTTTGAAAAAAAAAAAGTTTACACTGAGATTGAAAAACAAACCACTACCACCACCACCACCAACAAAAACTAGCCAAAACCAAAGAGAGACAGAGTTACTTTGTTCTCCATGTCTGCCTAGGAGAAAATGAAGAGGTGTTCTACAAACAAACATTGTCTACTACTGAAAATAAAGATCCTATATTTTTGCATCTGGACTGGACATTGTTGATGTCCTACCTAGCTCCCTTTACCCAGCTAGTACACATATCTTCCATATTGCTGAGTGTTGGCTATTCATAGCTCATGGCTCATCCTCAGCCTTACGCTGCTTCCAACATCCTCCTTCTCCTGAGAGCATTCCTTCAATAAATCACATGAGCATGTATCACTCACTTGAATTCTGCTTTTAGGAAATTTCTACCTAATTTTAGGGGAAAAATGGACACATATAGAGCGAGATGCTGTCTATATGTGTCCATTTCATTCCTACAGTTATATATGCTCAAAGTCTTTAAAAATCAGGGATAATGCAACCTCTATAAACTTGGTATAAAGTTGTGTATTTGAAGGCAAAATACTGTAATTTTATGACTAGTAATTCCAATATTCAATCACAGCTCCTAAGTGTTATAACCTAAATAAAGTGAAAAGTCCAATGAGGATTTAGATAAAGTATTCTCTTAATTCCACCCAGATGCCCAAGTTTCTCTCAATAATCTCTTATTTCAAACATCAGCAATGATTCATGATTCCGCGAGGTAATATTTTTAAAAATAAAATGATAACTAAAATCTGTATGACCCTGGATGGAGTTCAAAATAAGTCAGGCCTAACATGATACCATTACTTCCATTTGCTCTTATACTAACCCTAATAACATGCCCCATAGGAAAACATTTTTTATTAAAATTTATAATTGCACAAGCTGATGTAGGAATAGGATTTTTACTATGGAAAGGTGAGGGGAGACAAGATACTTCTCATCTGTATTAATTAAAAAGTAATATGGTGTTTCCTACACTGTAGTTAATGAGGGAATATTTTGAGACCTTCAAGATAGAATAAAACAAAATTTGTGCTTGAATATACCTTTAAATACATGTCTACCTTTGAAGACATGTTTCTCTGCTTTAAATGCTCAAAAAATTCATTAGAAAGTCTTCGTAAGTCAATTTAAAAATGGAAAGTCTCAGGTCCTTTAAATATGAAATTAAATGGTTAAAAGAGATTAAGTCGCAAGTATCAAGTTCTTTATTTCTTAGACTAAATCTTACAATGGATGGGTCATAGGTGAATGTTACTAAACAGCTTTAAATGCAGAAAATTAGTAGAAACAATAAAAGGAAGAATCTACGTTCTGTATACAAAGGTATCATTGTGGGAAGGCTGAGCAAAGGAAACTCATTTAAAGCTGAGCAAAGGAAACTGTGAAAGCAAATATCCATATATGAAGATAAATGGAAAACAAAGAGATGCCTAAGCATCCAGAAGTAGAAAATAAATCAGATATAAAAAAGGGAAAGAGCTAATAGAGAAAGGATAATGTCTTTGAAAAATCAAAACATAACAGCATTTTAAATAATATTTGCAGTATTAGACTGGAAGAAAACTAAAGTTCCCATTTTTAACTATACCATGTCTTTGTTGTCATTTCTTACTTTAAAATATTTGTAGTATCCTAGCACACTTTCTTTTTAAAATAAGGATCAGTTGTGCCTTACAAAACACTGATTTGGAGATATATTATTTGAGTAATTATTTTAGGTCAAGCATTTTTAAGTAGAGATAATAGCATTAACCCTGGTATTCTAAATCTGTATAATCTCCAAATTAAATCTATGTATCTATCAAATATTAACCCTTATTAATGAACTTAATAACACTTCATAATGTGCTTCTTCCTCTCTTGAGCGGGAACATTAATTTTGTTAAAGAATAGCAGTGCTTATGTGTGCACTCGTTAGTTTAATAACATTAGTGAACAGGTTAACAAGGTCATGATTAGTTATATTGCCTTTGAAATCAATGGTTATTTATTGTATAAGGCAACGTTTTGTTAAATAAATTACTGAAGAATGTTATTCCAAGAAATAAACAACCATAAAAAAAAGAAAACTTACGACTGAGGAAGGCATTTGAAATGAGAATTTAAATACATCAGATTATACAGATAGGGTGTTTATTATTAAAAATAGGAAATGGAAAGACAAAATTAGGAAGGTAGGAGAAGTAACCATGAATTGAAGGACAAACTACTATGTTCTCCCAATTAAAGTAAAACAATTTTAAAGCAATTGCTTGCAATGTCTAAACACAAGATAGAGTAGGTGTCAGTACAAATGTCCATTGCACCCTACCTTTTTAGTGATGGGCTCTGTAAAGTGACACCTGCAGCCAAAGTAAAAAGCCATTGTACTGGTGTGACTTAAATAAACAAAAAGAACTTTAAGACCATCATTTTGAGAGAGAATCAATAAATTAAATTGTAGTGGGGAAGCATAGTAAATAGAACTTTAGTGGAATGTAAGTGAGGTCACAAAATTAGAGTGCCTTTTAAGAGCAGTGTTAGGAATAAAAATGATGGAAAATATATACATTATCCTGACAACTAAGGTCGACTAGAATGTTTCTGCTAACAGTTCTCTTAGATTAGAGCACTGGAAAGAAGAAAAAGTGTATTTTTCAGGTTTTCTGGAAAAATATTTGCACCAGGAAAGGTAACCACTGGACCAGCTCAAACCGGTTCAAGTCTTGTGTAACCCTTGCTGAAGTTGTTCTGTGGATGTACCTAAGCCAAAATTGCAAGTGATGTAGCCAGGGCATACACATGGAAAAGCTTTGACTTTCAAGAACACCCAGAACCAATGTTTCTTCCCCACAGAACCAAGATGGCTGGGACATGACCGAAACCTGAGCCCTTTCAGAAGTAAGGAGTCTTTGATGCAGGAAGTTCTGGTGCTGAAATCCACCATTTCATGCCTTACCATAAATGGTCAGGTTTAAAGCCTTCCAGTCAAAACCAGCACCACCAGTGCTTACACATACCAGGTTTTCCTCTCTAGCACATAGGAGTTTGTCCTGACCCCCAGATCAGGAAGACAAATTGCAATAAAGCTCTTTCTTTTCTCAAAAACTGGTATCATAATATTGGCTTCCAGCCAGCACATTTTCAGTAACAGAAATGTTATGTTTTCTAGGCCCAGCTGCAATTTTTCTGTGTGGCATAAAATGGACCTCATTTGCGATTACTCTTTTGAAAACTCCACATTTACATTAATATAAAAAATACCATTACTGAATTGGATATTTATCTGTTTTGTATTCTAGAATAATTTTAATCTAGTGTCTTAGGTAAAAGAAAATTAATAATTCTAATATGTAGTGATATTAAATGATAGAAATGTGCAAGCACTCCTTTTGTAACTTTTCTCAAAGTGTATTTCCTTTAAGTGAACCAAAGTATTCATGTAATTACCCATTGCCTCATGTTATGATTATATACTGAGTCTCTCCATTGAAATGTATATGAATGAGAGAGTAAATATATAGGTATATGCAGTATGTATGTATATGAATGAGAGAGTAAATATGTAGGCATATAGGCCCTCCTTCTTGGTGAGGACCCTATTTGTGGTTTATAGATCACAGATTTCTTGTTTAATCATTGCATTTGAAGAGAAATCTCTCTTGTGTCTCATTTCTCTTAAGGTCACTAATGCCATTCATGAGGGCTCCACGCTTTTGACTAAATTACCTCCCAAAGGCTTCACCTCCAAATACCACCACAATGAGGATTAGGGCTTCAACATATAAATTTTGAGGGGACACAAACATTTAATCCGTAGTACAGGGTGCAGAGGAAATAGCAGTGCTAAAATTACACAGCAGATAAAGTAAAAAATTATCAAGGTAAACAGAATGTTTACAACATTTACCATTTTTGAAAATAGGTCTCAAGGCTGTGTGAGTCTGTCTGATTTAGAATATGTTGAATATGCATTTTCAATGCAAATAACCATAACCATGCTAAAATTTAATTAATATATGCATATAGTTTTCACTTGTGGTATAGCACAGATAACATTTCTATCTACTGAGGGGATATAAATCCATAAAACTGAGTCCAAATGTACGTATTAATCTGTGAATTGCACACATTTATATATGCCTTTAAATTTTATTTAATAGTTCAAAGAGTTGAAATTATTGTAAATGCTATATTTAATGCTTTTATTTTAATTTTATGTTGATGTAAATAAAAATTAACTACTATCATAATAGGATAATTGATGTATACTAAGTGCTACATTTTAAAATAGATGTGCAATCCTTGATATTGTGGAATTTCCAACAGATTCTTACTAAACTGTTTGGCTGAGAAAAAAATTAAAGAAAATTGAGCAAATAAAATTGCAATATACATATGATATGGCAAATCCCTGGTGGCTTGTAGGGGAACTTCACTGTTTTGCATTTTTCAGGAAGAAGAAATTAAGAAGCAGTTTAAAATCTTTCAAAATCCTGCCTATTGTCTTAGCATCCTGGGAATTCACTGAAATTACTTTATTGAGCTGCAGAAACTCTAAAAAGCAATTTAAAAAAGCAGGTCTATTAGTTCATCACAAGGTAGTTAAATACATCCTATTAAAACACACAGCCTATAGAATCAAATGTGCTTAGGTAGGCTACTCTGACAAGAGAGCATCTGTAGCTATGTGGACAACTTTAATTTTGAATTTCTTTTTTAACTTTTCATATAAATAATTGATAAAATTTATAAATTGACATTTAATATGAATAGACCTATTTATCAATAATAGAATGATTTATCAGGAAATAACATTATGTAAGCAGGTTAAAGTAAATGCTGGTTATCAGATGATTTCAAATTTATAATACACAGACTTTTTCATTTTAATGCTGGAGAGACCATTAAAAGTGCCCATTTGGGAGGATTAGTGTGAGATGCAAAAATGGATCAGGAAAACAAAACGTATCGGAAATATATTTTGGAACATGCATTAACGTCATGCCTAATTTAATTTAAAACACCTAGTGGGAAATTGTACTCATTGGAAAGTAAGTAATTAGTTGCACAAACATGTTAAAGCAAAGGTTTTGTCTGTATATATGAGGCGATATATTTTCCAGAAAATATATAAATTGTATCTTCCATAATAACTTTCACAGCAGCCCTGGCTTGTTTACTTATGTAAACAATGTTTTTTCAAAAGAGTAGAAACTACTTTCCTTTCAAAATGAACAAGAAAGCAAATTTTGTTTGTAAGTGTGATGAGATTGAGTTCTACTTTAGAAAAAAATGGCTTGCTTGCATTTTTCTTTATAGATACATAATTTCATAAAGCCATTTCACCTTTGATTGTAATTTATAACCTGTCTTAACATGCATATCAAATTGCCAAGGGTATTTTGATCACAGCATCATTAAACTATGAAAAATGGGTGTCATAATAGAAGAAGTAATCTAATTTTTTATTATAGTTCTGATGGTATAATACTATTATGCTAAGATAAAAAATTTTTAGATCTTAGGCCTTTATGCAAAGGGTTTAAGAATAAGGTAATGTAATAAAATATAGCCTTTCGGCAGTCCTTTTGCCAGTAAGTTCAAGTCCCAGCTGCTAAAGGCTTTAGAGTTAAGTTCATTATAATAAAAACCCACCAGTAAGTAGTATTCTCACACACCTTAGATAAGAATTAACAAAACAAGGAGCTTAACCAGATTTGGAAATCATTCTTTTTGAATCAAAATAAATAATATTTTTTGCCTAAACACTTACACATATTTCTAACAAATTTATTTCTCTGTGGATAACATGTATGAAAAAGGCAGGTATTTTTACCTTTAAAAAAGTTTCAGTGACTGGTTGGACCATGACTTTGAGGACTTTTTACATTTCTAGAGGCCCTTTTGGAATATTTTCTCCTTCTCATGTATTACTATAATTAATAATACTTCAAGTCTTTCTACAGTACTTCAGGGGAATTCAAAACATATTAGTATTGTTCATATCTACTTCAAGAAGCAGAAATATTTAATGATTTAAAAAATTAATCATATACAACTTATTCTTTATTCAAGGTCACGAAGATGAATCAGTGTTAAAAATCAGGATTATAGCCAACATTTAAGATGAAGTGTCCATTCATAATGCACAAAAGGATATCACAACCCACCACCCCCATTAATCCTGTAAAGCAATGTAGAGAGAATCTCTTGGAAATAAGAACCCACGTTATAATTTTGTAACCTTGAAGCACTATTTTATCCTGCTGAAAAGTGAAATGGAACTCTTGTCATACAAAATGGAATCAACATAAAATATAAAAAAAATTCAAACCCTAAGCATATTTATTGAAAAAAGTTTTAACTCAGTTTGTCTGTATCTATTACCAATGACTCAGAAGGCTTTGAGTTGGAATCAGAGTCTAGCATAAGAGACTTAAGGCAGATACAAGTCTCTCCATATATTTCCTTTCCTGTTAAATCAGGCAATCCTAGTAACACCAAAGGAGTAAGAATAATCAATGCAATGATAATACATCTTGTTACCTTTACTACTGGAAAGAGTAGTGAAGCCAAATTTGTGAGAAGGCAAAGGAAAAGTTGTCTCAATCTTAATCATTCCCAGATAAAAAACAGCTAGAGGCCAGCCTCTAACCTGTAGGTTGCTAAATCCAGGCTGATAAGCAGGAACAACTGTTTGTGGACCACCAAATGTGATCATCAGCATAATTCACAAAGAGCATATTCAAATAATTTTATATCTTCTGTCTTCAGCAATTTGTGAATGGTCTCATAAAATTTTTCATTGAAATTTCTCAAAATACAGTATTGAATTATACAAACTAGATTATTTAAAAAGTTAGATCCCTTCACAGAAGTACAGTAAATTTATTTAATTTGTTAAATATAATTTATTGTAACAGCATCAAAGAATTTAATATGCTAGAAAAAGAAAGTTAAAATTGTTTTATTTAGCATGGCTTTATATTACCTTACATGGAAACAATATGTAAATAATAAAATTGAAAAACTTAAAGACATACCGAATCAAAGGAGCTGTTCTGATCACAAGTGTTGGCAAAGGTATAGTTCTGGGAAATAAATTTTATACTTAAAACTCAAGGGTATAATTATATTTTTATGTTCACACTTATCTGCAGGAGTTTAGACTAATAAGTTTAGTAACAGAACCGTGTGTGAAAAATGAAGTGCAATAGAATAGTAAAATAGATCACCCAAAACAATTCAGATAATAAAAGAAAAAAGTAAATTTGAATGCTCCTCTGGTGATCACAAAGTATTCAAAGCTGCATATTTTCAAACTATTTTTGTAGGCTGAATAATATGCTTGCCTTATCATTGTTGAATGAATAATCCATATTCCTCCTTTCTCTTTTAACATTTTTATGTTTTCAGAAATCAGAATCAAGTGGATTTTACATTGTAATATCAGAATAGAATAGGCTTTTGCCTTTCTGAATTTGCCCTTCTGGAGCTCAAGCATCTGATCACCATTTAAAACAACATTTATCATTTCTGATTATTTCATTAAGAATCTAATTCAAAGCAGAGAGACATAAAAGTTTGTTTTGTCACCTAACCAAACATTTTTTTTTTTTTTTACAGCCAAGATGTAGATGCATTTTTATAGCAGATAACCCATGTACACAATTTGGCATATATGAAGTCTTGCCCTAATAGTGGCATTTACAGTCTTTTTTCTATGTACTTAAATCAGCAGAAGAGGTAATGTCACAGTAGGTAGTCAGACAGCAGCAGGGCAGGAGAGGGCCCCCTTCCCCCACCACCAGGAATGTCAGGCGACCATCAGGTGATGCTCAGGAGGTTGTTAAACTCTCTCTCTAAATTAATAATTGGTTGCAGCTGGCACCAGGGAAAGTCAGTCTTCCAATAGATGGGAAAATCCTGAAACTCGTTATCAGTGGCTTCCCAATAAGATCTCAGGAGTTGAGCACGTGGCCTCAAGCATACGCACTAAGAAGCAAAATGGTGGTGTTTAACTGGTATATGACCTTCCTCTAGGAACTCTCAAATGGTAGGGGGGAAAACAGCTCAAGTGAGTACGTGCACACAATTTGACTTTATAAAATTTAGATGCCTAAAAAAGTCATTATATTTTCGAGACTCAATTTACTATTTTATCAATTTTACTGAATTTATTTTATCGATTTATGTAATTTTAAATATTACCAAATATTTTGACCAATAACCATAAATATGTAGTATGTGAAACTTTCTTTCTATAGATCTAAAAATAATTGTCTGAGTCTTGGTCATTAATAAAAGCAAAAGCTTTACTTAAACTCTTATGGTACTTCAGAGCTTTTTACAAAGAATCCCACTTGTGAACATTACTTTCAGTAGAGTTGTAAAAGGAAGATACATATACTGACTTCATCATTTATACAGAAAATGACAAGATTATATTTATTTTTAACTCTTGAGTTTTTCTATTTTCTACTTCTACCTCTAGTTTTCAGTAAAACACCTTATATTGGTCAATCATTTATTTTAAATGTAAGTAGTTAACATTTACAAATTAAAACATACACATACCTTCAGCATAGACCAAGTACATGGTTAAAAGGAAGAAGAACATGTACACATTTTTATATTAAAAATTACCAGGTTATTTTTCTATGTAAATAATATATACTGAGATATTAAATATCTATATTTCAGAAGATTAAAGGCAATTATATTGTGTTATGGTACATGATGTCATAGAAAATTTAGATAGCCTTGTCACTGAAATGAAGTTAGACACAAATTACACTTAGTTTTTGTAGACCCCTAATGAAATTTAAAATAATTATTTCTAAAGCATTACTTCAACTGTTTGATTAGAATATTTAAATGATATAAAGACCTAAGTATAATGCATACTTTATAATTTAACTCTAATAGCATAAATGGCAATAAACCAAACAGATTAATGAGTTTATAGCAACGCAATTGGCACATGAAACAAATAACCCCAGAATAAATCCTTCTTATCATGTTATGCTATGTGAAACACTGGCTGATACAAAAGTAATTTGTATTTCTATTGTATGATATACCTTATATATACATACATCATAAAATTATATAAAATTAAATACATACTTCTCATAATTCTAAGAAACTTGAAGAATTCCATATTATTTGCTGATTGTTACCTTTAGTATTTCTGACAAGAGCTTTGTTCACATAGGTCTCTTCTGCATATCAGTAATAAATTTGGGTAGCGTTGACTTTCAAGCTTCTTCTATAACAAGCTTCTTCAATAACTATAATAAATGGAGAGTCATAAAGACTCCATGAAAATAGTTCTGTACAACATGTTTTTGAGGTTTCACATGAGAAATAATTCTGCATTCTATGCCCATCAAGAAATTCAACATTAATTAGTTAGGATTTTCTATTGTATAGGTTGATTATTTATATCCCTCACATTTTTTAATATGTTTTAATTTAGACATTCAGCTTTGCTTGGCACTTTATAAATTATTTATTCTTGCATCTTCTACTTTTTTTTACGTTTATTTTATTGCATTTCTTTTCTATTTGTCTTTTTTGCTTGGTTTAGGTTATTTTTAATTAACTTCAGGCAGAAATGGAGGAAAACCAGAATGTGCTCACATTCATAATGCATGTAAGGCAGTCCCCGCATCCCCCCGTCCTCCCCCATTTAACTCTTCAAAGCCCTTCAAAGAAGACTGAAAGCCCTACAACAAAACACAAAGCTCTTGGTTTTCTGCTGAAGTTTGGTTTAAAATTATTTCCTGCAAATAAAATATCCCCACTTCTAAAGAAACTCAAGAGTGCAAAAGGAAATAAAAAGAGTGCAAAAGGAAAATAATTACCTTTTTATATTCAGAACTATCATTTTACTCTTCAAATAATTGTTTCATATTTAAGAAAAATTTACACAGTATTTTAAAACCACTCAATCAATCCACCATGTCTCAGCCCCTAGGACTTGAGTGAGTAACCACATCTAGAAAAATCTGCTTTAATGTTTGTATTCTCTGTGACTTAAAAGTGTTCTTATACCAGTTTTCCAAAGACTATACAGCTTAATTGAGATGTGGGAGAATGCAAAAGCAAACTTAAAGCTTCATGACTGTAATCCTAGCACTTTGAGAGGCCGAGGCAGGAGGATCACCTGAGGTCAGGAGTTCGAGACCAGCCTGGCCAACATGGTGAAACCCCATCTCTACTGAAATACAAAAATTAGCCAAGCATGATGGCAGGTGCCTGTAATATCAGCTACTTGGGAGGCTGAGACGGGAGAATCGCTTGAACCCTGGAGACAGTGGCTGCAGTGAGCAGAGATAGCGCGACTGGAATCTAGTCTGGGAGCCTGAGCGAGACTCTGTCTCAAAAAATAAATAAAATAAATCGTATAAACTCTTTATATGGAATATTTGCTATAGACAAGAGATCTGACTTGTTATCTTGATGTTTGTAAAACTAAATTTTTAATCTTTTTTTATTATACTTTAAGTTCTGGGGTACATGTGCAGAATGTGCAGGTTTGTTACATAGGTATACCCATGCCATGGTGGTTCGCCGCACCCATCAACCCATCATCTACATTAGGTATTTCTCCTAATGCTATCCCTCCCCCAGCCCCCAACCCCCCAACAGGCTCTGGTGTGTGATGTTTCCCTAGCTGGGTCCATGTATTCTCATTGTTCAACTCCCACTTATGAGTGAGAACATGTGGTGTTTGGTTTTCTGTTCTTGTGTTAGTTTGCTGAGAATGATGGTTTCCAGCTTCATCCATGTCCCTGCAAAGAACATGAGCTCATATTTTATTTTATTTTATTTTATTTTTTTTGTTGTTGTTGTTAAGATGGAGTCTTGCTCTGTCACCCAGGCTGGAGTGGAGTGGAGTGATCTCGGCTCACTGCAACCTCCACCTCCTGGGTTCAAGCCATTCTGCCTCAGCCTCGCAAGTAGCTGGGATTACAGGCATGCACCAGCATGCCTGGCTAATTTTTTGTATTTTTAGTAGAAACGGGGTTTCACTGTGTTAGCAAGGATGGTCTCGATCTCCTGACCTTGTGATCCGCCCGCCTCGGCCTCCCAAAGTGCTGGGATTAAGGTTGCATAGTATTCCATGGTGTATATGTGCCACATTTTCTTTATCCAGTCTATCATTGATGGGCATTTGGGTTGGTTCCAAATCTTTGCTATTGTGAACAGTGCTGCAATAAATATACATGGACATGTGTCTTTACAGCAGAATAATTTATAATCCTTATACCCAGTAATGGGATTGCTGGGTCAAATGGTATTTCTGGTACTAGATCCTTGAGGAATCACCACACTGTGTCCACAATGGTTGAACTAATTTACACTCCCACCAACAGTGTAAAAGCATTCCTATTTCTCCACATCCTCCCCAGGATCTGTTGTTTCATGACTTTTTAATGATCACCATTCTTACTGATGTGAGATGGTATCCCATTGTGGTTTGAATTTGCATTTCTATAATGACCAGTGATGATGAGCTCTTTTCATGTTTGTTGGCTGCATAAATGTCTTATTTTAAGAAGTGTCTGTTCATATACTTCGCCCGCTTTTCGATGTTTTTTTTTTCTTGTAAATTTAAGTTCTTTGTAGATTCTGGATATTAGCCCTTTGTCAGATGGATAGATGGCAAATTTTTTCTCCCATTCTGTAAGTTGCCTGTTCACTGTGAAGATGGTTTATTTTGCTGTGCAGAAGCTCTTTAGTTTAATTAGATCCCATTTGTCAATTTTGGCTTTTGTTGCTGTTGCTTTTGGTGCTTTAGTCATGAAGTCTTTGCTCATGCCTATGTCCTGAATGGTATTGCCTAGGTTTTCTTCTAGGGTTTTTATGATTTTAGGTCTTACATTTAAGTCTTTAATTCACCTTGAGTTAATTTTTGTATAAGGTGTAAGGAAAGGGTCCAGTTTCAGTTTTCTACATATGACTAGCCATCAACATCATTTATTAAATAGGGAATCCTTTCCCCATTGCCTGTTTTTGACAGGTTTGTCAAAGATCAAAGATCAGATGGTTGTAGAGGTGTGGTGTTATTTCTGAGGCCTCTGCTCTGTTCCATTGGTCTGTATCTCTGTTTTGGTACCAGTACCATGATGTTTTGGTTACTGTAGCCTTGTAGTATAGTTTGAAGTCAGGTAGTATGATGCCTCCAGTTTTGTTCTTTTTGCTTAGAATTGTCTTGGCTATGTGGGCTCTCTTTTGGTTCCATATGAAATTTAAAGTAGTTTTTTTCTAATTCTGTGAAGAAAGTCATTGGTAGCTTGATGGGCAAAGCATTGAATCTATAAATTGGGGCAGTATGGCCATTTTCACGATACTGATTCTTCCTATCCATGAGCGTGGAATGTTTTTCCATTTGTTTGTGTCTTCTCTTATTTCCTTGAGCAGTGGTTTGTAGTTCTCCTTGAAGAGGTCCTTCATATCCCTTGTAAGTTGTATTCCTAGGTATTTTATTCTCTTCGAAGCAGTTGTGAATGGGAGTTCACTCCTGATTTGGCTCTCTGTTTGTCTATTATGGTGTATAGAAATCCTTGTGATTTTTGCACATTGATAATGTATCCTGAAACTTTGCTGAAGTCGCTTATCAGCTTAAGGAGATTTTGGGCTGAAATGATTGGGTTTTCTAAATATACAATCATATCATCTGCAAACAGAGACAATTTAACTTCTTCTCTTCCTATTCGAATACCCTCTATTTCTTTCTCTTGCCTGATTGCCCTGGCCAGAACTTCCAATACTATGTTGAATAGGAGTGGTGAGAGAGGGAGTTCTTGTCTTGTGCTGGTTTTCAAAGGGAATGCTTCCAGTTTTTGCCCATTCAGTACGATATTGGCTGTGGGTTTGTCATAAATGGTTCTTATTATTTGGAGAAACATTCTATCAATACCTAATTTATTGAGAGTTTTTAGCATAAAGGGGTGTTCAACTTTGTTGAAGGCCTTTTCTGCATCTATTGAGATAATCTTGTGGTTTTTGTCATTGGTTCTATTTATGTGATGGATTACGTTTATTGATTTGTGTATGTTGAACCAGTCTTGCATCCCAGGGACGAAACCAACTCAATTGTGGTGGATAAACTTTTTGATGTGCTTCCGGATTTGGTTTGCCATTAGTTTATTGAGGATTTTCACATTGGTGTTCATCAGGGATATTGGCCCGAAATTTTCTTTTTTTCTTGTGTCTCTGCCAGGTTTTCGTATCAGGATGATGCTGGCCTCATAAAATGAGTTAGGGAGGATTCCCTCTTTTTCTATTGATTGGAATATTTTCAGAAGTAATGATACCAGGTTCTCTTTGTACCTCTGGTAGAATTTGGCTGTGAATCCATCTGGTCCTGGGCTTTTTTTTTTTTTTTTTTTTTTTGGTTAATAGGCTATTGATTACCGCCTCAATTTCAGAACTCATTATTGGTCTATTCAGAAATTTGACTTCTTCCTGGTTTAGACTTGGGAGGGTGTATTTGTCCAGGAATTTACCCATTTCTTCTAGGTTTTCTAGTTTATTTGCATAGAGGTATTTATAGTATTCTCTGATGGTAGTTTGTATTTCTGTGGGATCAGTGGTGATATCCCCTTTATCATTTTTTATTGTGTCTACTTGATTCTTCCTCTTTTCTTCTTTATTAGTCTGGCTAGCAGTCTATCTATTTTGTTGATCTTTTCAAAAAACCAGCTCCTCAATTCATTGATTTTTTGAAGGGTTTTTTGTGTCACTATCTCCTTCAGTTCTGCTCTAATTTTAGTTATTTCTTGTTTTCTGCTAGATTTTGAATTTCTTTGCTCTTGCTTCTCTAGTTCTTTTCATTGTGATGCTAGGGTGTGGATTTTAGATCTTTTCTGCTTTTTCTTGTGGACATTTAGCACTATAAATTTCCCTCTAGACACTGCTTTAGCTACGTCCCAGAGATTCTGGTACGTTGTGTCTTTGTTCTCATTGGTTTCAAATAACTTATTTATTTTTGCCTTAATTGTGTTATTTACCCAGTAGTCATTCAGGAGCAGGTTGTTCAGTTTCCATGTAGCTGTGCGGTTTTGAGTGAGTTTCTTAATCCCGAATTCTAATTTGATTGCACTGTTGTCTGAGAGATTGTTGATGATTTCTGTTCTTTTGCATTTGCTGAGGAGTGTTTTATTTCCAATTATGTGATCAATTTTAGAATAAGTGTGATGTGGTGCTGAGAAAAATGTATATTATGCTTATTTTGGGTGGAGAGTTCTGTAGATGTCTATTAGGTTCACTTGGCCCAGAGCTGAGTTCAAGTCCTGAATATCCTTGTTAATTTTCTGACTTGTTGATCTGTCTAATATTGACAGTGTGGTGTTAAAGTCTCCCACTATTATTGTGTGGGAGTCTAAGTCTCTTTGTAGGTCTCTAAGAGCTTGCTTTATGAATCTGGGTGCTCCTGTATTGGAGATATATATATATATATATATATATATATATATATATATATATATATATGAATATGATAGTTAGCTCTTCTTGTTGCTTTCCTGTGTTTACCATTATGTAATGCCCTTCTTTGTCTCTTTTGATTTTTGTTGGCTTAAAGTCTGTTTTATCAGAGGCTAGGATTGCAACCTCTGCTTTTTTTTTTTTTTTTTTTTTGCTTTCCATTTGCTTGGTAAATATTCCTCCATCCCTTTATTTTGAGCCTGTGTGTGTCTTTGCACATGAGTTGGGTCTCCTGAGTACAGCACACCAATGGGTCTTGATTCTTTATCCAATTTGCCAGTCTGTGTCTTTTAATTAGGGCATTTAGCCTGTTTACATTTAAGGTTAATATTGTTATGTGTGAATTTGATCCTGTCATTATGATACTAGCTGGTTATTTTGCCTGCTATTTGATGCAGTTTCTTTGTAGTGTCAACGATCTTTACAATTTGGTATCTTTTTGCAGTGGCTGGTACCAGTTGTTCCTTTCCATGTTTAGTGCTTCCTTCAAGAGGTCTTGTAAGGCAGGCCTGGTGGTGACAAAATCTCTCAGCATTTGCTTGCCTGTGAAGGATTTTATTTCTCCTTTGCTTATTAAGCTTAGTTTGGCTGGATATGAAATTCTGGGTTAAAAGTTATTTTTGTTAAAAATGTTGAATATTGGCCCCCACTCTCTTCTGGCTTGTAGGGTTTCTGCAGAGAGATCTTCTGTTAGTCTGATGGGCTTCTCTTTGTGGGTAACCAGACCTTTCTCTCTGGCTGCCCTTAACATTTTTTCCTTTATTCCAACCTTGGTGAATCTGATGATTATGTGTCTTGGGGTTGCTCTTCTCAGAGAGTACCTTTGTGGTGTTCTTTGTATTTCCTGAAATTGAATGTTGGCCTGTCTTGCTAGGTTGGGGACATTCTCCTGGATAATATCCTGAAGAGTGTTTTCCAACTTGGTTCCATTCTCCAGTCACTTTCAAGTACACCATTCAAATGTAGGTTTGGACTTTTCACATAGTCCCATATTTCTTGGAGGCTTTGTTTGTTCCTTTTCATTCTTTTTTCTCTAATCTTGTCTTCATACTTGATTTCATTAAGTTGGTCTTCAACCTGATATGCTTTCTTCTGCTTGATCGATTTGGCTATTGATACTTGGGTATGCATCACAAAGTTCTCATGCTATGTTTTTCAGCTCCATCAGGTCATTTATGTTCTTCTATAATCTGATTATTCTAGTTAGCAATTTATCTAACCTTTTTTCAAGGTTTTTAGCTTCCCTGCATTGGGTTAGAACACGCTCCTTTAGCTTGGAGGAGTTCTGAATTTGTCAAACTCATTCTCTGTCCAGTTTTTTTTCCCTTGCTGGTGAGGAGTTGTGATCCTTTGGAGGAGAAGAGGCGTTCTGGTTTTTGGAATTTTCAGCCTTTTTGCACTGGTTTCTCCTCATCTTCATGGATTTATCTATCTTTGGTCTTTGATGTTGGTGACCTTCAGATGAAGGATAATGGATATGACGTTTCTGAGGGGATGTCTTTTTTGTTGATCTTGAAGTTATTCCTTTCTGTTTGTTAGTTTTCCTTCTATTAGTCAGGCCCCTCTGCTGCAGGTATGCTAGAGTTTCCTGGAGGTCCACTCCAGACCCTGTTCAACTGGTTATCACCAGCAGAGGCTGCAGAACAGCAAAGATGCTCCCTGTTTCGTCCTCTGGAAGCTTAGTTCCAGAGGGGCGCCAGCCTGATGACAGCCAGAGCTCTCCTCTGTGAGGTGTCCGTTGGCCCCTGCTGGGAAGTGTCTCCCAGTCAGGAGACACAGGGTTCAGGGACCCACTTAAGGAGGCAGTCTGTCCCTTCAAAGAGCTTGAACGCTGTGCTTGGGAGATCTGCTGCTCTCTTCAGAGCTGGCAGGCAGAGACGTTTAAGTCTGCTGAAGCTTCACCCACAGCCACCCCTTTTACCCTGGTGATCTGTCCCAGGGAGATGGGGGCTTTATCTATAAGCCCCTGACTGCGGCTTCTGCCTTTTTTTCAGAGATGTCCTGCCCAGAAAGGAGGAATCTAGAGAGGCAGTCTGGCTACAGCGCTTTGCAGAGCAGTGGAGGGCTCTGCCCAGTTGGAACTTTCCCGAGGCTTTGTTTACACTGTGAGGGGACAACTGTCTACTCAAACCTCAGTAATGGTGAACACCCCTCCCCACACCAAGGTCGAGCATCCCAGGTCGACTTCAGACTGCTGCGCTGGTAGCAAGAATTTCAAGCTGGTGTATCTTACCTTGCTGGGCTCCACGGGGGTGGGATCCACTGAGTTAGACCACTTAGCTCCCTGGCTTCAGCCTCTTTCCAGGGAAGTGAACGGTTCTGGCATTCCAGGCACCCCTGGGGTATGAAAAAAACTCCCAAAGCTAGCTTGGTGTCTGCCCAAATGGCAGCCGAATTTTGTGCTTGAAACCCAGGGCCCTGGTGGCATAGGCACCTGGAGTGCACTGGTCCTCACAGCACAGTTTCCTAAGGCTTCCCTTGGCTGGGGGAGGGAGTTCCCCAAACCCTTGTGCTTCCCGGGTGAGGCAACACCCCACCCTGCTTTGGTTCACCCTCTGTGGACTGCACCCACTGTCTAACTGGTCCCAATGAGATGAGCCAGGTACCTCAGTTGGAAATGTGGAAATCACCCACCTTCTGCATTGATCTTGCTGGGAGTGGCAGACTGGAGCTGTTCCTATTCAGCCATCTTACCAGCCTTCTCCCGAATTTCTGTTTTCCATATTTCTAGCTACGATCCACAAAGCATCGTAAATTCTCTGCAGGAGTTGAATGTTACTCCATGTGATTAACTTTGCATCTCAAGTTTTTAATCTTTTAAGGAATGAGCTCTGTATCATAAAATTTTATTTTGTTCATTGTGGATCTTAATGGATATGACATTTTAGAATAAAATGATGAAATGCTCTGGAAAATTTAATATGGAAAACGCACTTATTTTCAGAATAAAATAGTCAGGTATGTTTTTCTGTTTGCTTTATTTTGTTTATGAAGTGTTTGGACTCAAGTCATTGGTCTCTACAATGCATTTTTGAATTTCCACATGAAAAAGAATTCTGAACTCTTTGCCATCAAAGAGATTCAACTTTTCCATTTTCTATTTTAAAAGTTGATCTTTTATATCCCTCAAGTTTGTAGGAAGCTACCAAATTGTTCCAAAGAGGCTGTACAATCTTACCTCCCCCTAGCAGTATATGAGAACTACAGTTATTGCACATCTTTACCAATACTTGGTGTTGCCAATATTTTAATTGTAGGAGTTCTCATAAATGTGCAAAGGTATCTCATTGTGGTTTTAATTTTCATTTCCTTAATGACTAATGGTATTGAGCATCTTTTTACAGGTTTAAGGGCCACTTGAATATCTTCTCTTGTGAAGTGTTTGAATTATTTTGCCTATTATTTATATGTAAGAGTTAATTATATGTTTAGGATACAACTTTGTCAGATATACATACTTGGAATAGATTTATAGTTCCTTCTTGTTTTCTTAAGTATCTTTCAAAAATCAAAAGATGTTTAGCATAAATGGATATTGAATTTTAATGCATTTTTATTCTTTATTCTGTAACATGGTAAATTTATTTAAATGGTTTTTAAATGTTACATAAACCATGCATTTCTGAGAGAAATACCACTTGATCAATGTGTAATATTATAATGACTTTATTTATTTGTCAATTTGAGCCACGGTCTCCAATTTTTCTATCAAAAAAAATGTAGGTGTTGTGTGACAATATCTTACAAATACATTTTAAGCCTCTAATCAGTTGAAATTAAAAGTAAGGGAGATTATGTTGGATAAATTCCTTTTGTGGTCCAGACTGAATATGTTAGAAGCTCTTAAAACCAAAGCTGGGCCCGGTGCAATGGCTCACACCTGTAATCCCAGCACTTTGGGAGGCCAGCGTGAGTGGATCACCTGAGGTCAGGAGTTCAAGACTAGCCTGGCCAACCTGGTGAAACCCCGTCTCTACTAAAAATACAAAAATTAGCTTGGCGTGGTGGTGGGTGCCTGTAAACCCTACTCAGAAGGCTAAGGCAGGAGAATCACTTGAACTGAGGAGGCGGAGGTTGCAGTGAGCCAAGATCGCGCCATTGCACTCCAGCCTGGGGGACTGAGCAAGATTTTGTCTCAAAAAAAAAAAAAAAAAAGAAAGAAAGAAAACAACGATGAAAGAAAAAACAAAGCTGAAGTTTACTCTGAAGAGAAAAAAAAATGTACACGAACTTTGGCTCATGCCCGTGGAGTTTGATTCTTCTCAAGATCTTCCTCCCTGACTATGTTGTATGAACTTAACACTTATTTGGCCAGCTCTCATAAATCATGTAAACCAATTCCTTGTAATAAAGGTAACTATTTATCTAACATCTATTATCATCTCTCTAAGAAATTGAAAATAAAATTCTAAGCCCCTCAACTGACTGAATGAATCCCCTCTTGGCCGAGGTCCCCAGAGAAACCTTGAAACTGAGTTCCCGACTATAGAAGAATGGAAGGTTTAACATGCCTCATTATATCCCTTCTCTCACTAACTGCCATTAGGCTTTCTTCCCCAAGGGCTGAACAGAAATCACATCTTTGGAGAGATTCCCTCCACCTCTGATATCAAGTAACCGCCTGTTGCTGACCCTCCCTTTCTTGGTTTTGACAAAACAGCTGACTAGCATTCTTTCCTGATAAGAAACAAAAAGACCAAGGAGTGGTACTGGCCAGCCAATGGAGAATTAACAGGGTTTTATGTCCTCTGCTTCACCTTTTGATGTCAGAGGGCTGGAAACTCCATCCTTCCATCATGCTAATGCTGCTTTTTCTTTTTTTTTTTCTTTTCTTTTTTTTTTAAACATGGATCTCATAGAGAATCATGAAGCTTAACTGCAAATGAGCATGATTCTCCTTAAATATTCATGACTCCTACAGTTTATTAAATAGGTACATAGAGTTACCCCACACAGCACAAATTTCTGTTCCCTTTGGCCCTCTCTTGAAGTGTTTCTGGCTTCTGACTGGACTCTATGATTCCCAGACTGTCAGAATGGCCACCCTCTAAGCTGCAACTTTTTATGACAAATTGAGGTCTCCTTTCTAAATTTATGAACCTCACCATTCTTTACTGACATATCTTATCTCCTACTTGTACTTCTCTTGTTAAACTCTGAATGGTAAAAATATATATTTTATATATTGCTGAATTGAATATGCTAATATGTTTTGAAGGATTTTTGCATCTAAGTTCATGACAGATTGATCTTTAAGTTTCTTTTATTGGATTAACTTTGTCAAGGTTTAGCATAAAACTTATGCTGCCCTCTTATAGTTTTTGAAAGAGTTTTTATATAACTGGCCTTATATCTCACTTAAACATTTTATGATATTCACCAGTGAATTTGTTTGGTGCTGGAGTTATCTTTGTAGGAAGTAACTTATGACAAACTTAAATGCTTTATTAAACATAGGCAGAAATTTTCAGATTCTCTATTTTCCCTTTAACTTTTGAATAAGTTGCAATACATTTCTACCGTTTATTAAAACTATCACATATATTGGCATAAATTTGTTCACAGTATCTTGTTATACTTTAATGTTTGAAGTATCTATAATAATGTTGTCTTTTACTTTTTGAATTAAACTGAATCAGTGTTTGTCAAATTTTATTTATATTTTTAGATAAGTTTGGGCTTTAAAACTTTTCTCTATTGTTCGTGTTCTCTGTAATTTCTGCTATTATCTATATTATATCCTACTTTTAGTTTAACTTATTAACCTTTTCTGAGGTTTTTTTTTTTTTGTGGAAACCTGCATCACTAAAAGTAAAATGGTTCTTTTCTAGTATAAATATTTAAAGCTACACATTTTCCTCTAAGCACTGCATTAGCTGCTTCCTATAAATTTTGATTTTTTAAAATGAAACTCCATATAAAATATTTTATAATTTCCATTGTGATTTCTTTCTCAATCTGTAGATTATGGAAAAGTCTATTTGATAAAATGTAATCTTCAATTGTTGGATGGAGCATTCTATAAATATTAAAGTTTCTTAAGAGTGTTGTCCAAATTTATCCTCTTCTAACATCCTTGTCTCATTAATTTTATAATTGCTAAGAGAGTGTTTTAAAAATGTTCTACAATTTTAGATTTCTGAACTGCTTCCTTTTCTTCTGTCAGTTTTTATTAGTTAAAAAGATCTATTAACTGTATACAACTTTATAATTTTTATGTCTTCATGATGAATGGCCTTTTTATCATTATAAATGCCCCTTTTTATGTCTGTTAGAACTCCTTGTCTTGAAGACTACTTAATTTGATATTAAGATAGCCATGAGCTTTCTCTTGCTTATGATTTGGATGATATATCTTTTACATTCTCTTACTTTCAACCTATCTCTGCCTTTATATTTAATGTAGAGTTGTTGTAAATAGTATGTAGTTTTGTGTTGTTTTTCTATCCCATCTAACAATGAACCTTCTAATTGGAGTTTTTAGTTCATTTAATTTAATTAATTTAGGAACATAACTGGTATTAATATATTGTAACAATACATTTAATTTATTCACTTTTTAATGATATCTTTTTGTATTTTTAAATGTTTGCTGAAAGTATTGTAATACATACTCATGAATTACTACATTCATCTTAGCATTATTATTATAACTCTTTACATAAGATGTAAAAAAATTACATTATATTTTTTGAAATAGGGTCTCAATCTGTAGCTCAGGCTGGAATGCAGTGGCATGAACACAGCTCACTGCAGCTTTGACTTCTTGGACTCAAGCTATTCTCCTGCCTTAGCTTCCTGAGTAGCTGGGATACACCACTTCCTGAGTAGTGGCATACACCACTACACCTGGCTACATTTTGATTTTTTTTATTGAGACAGAGTCTTGCTATGTTGCCCAGGCTGGTTCAGAACACCTGGGCCAAGCGATCTCCCACCTCAGCTTCCCAAATTGCTGGGATTAGAGGCATGAGCCACTGCAGCAAGCAAGACATTACATTTTATGTGAAAATTCATAACAGTTTAAGACAGTTTTATTTATACTCCCATTTTTGTGTGATATGTTTTCATATACGTGTGTTATTAACATTAAAATTTATTTTTGTCATTTTTCTTTTAAATAATTGTCTTTTAAAGAATTAAGAAAATAAAAATACAATTATTTATATTTATCCACTTATTTTTAACTTCCAGGACATTTTATTCCTTTCTGTAAATCCAAATTTCTTCTGATTTCATTTTTCTTTAATGTGAAGAACTTCCTTAAGTGGTTTATGTAGCATAGGTCTGCTGGTAATGAGTTATCTCAGCTTTCGTTCTTTTAAAAGATGATTTAATTTTATCTTCATTTTTGACAAATATTTTTCTTTGATATGGAAGTTGAGATTGCTCGATTTTGTTTTTTTAATTTTGTTTTATGTTTTTATCTTTCAACATGTTAAAACTAGTTTTCAATGGAACAGAATCTTCTGGGCTTTTTTTTTTGTGAAAATAGAAAATAATTTTATTTTTTGTTTTTTTTAAATTTTTTAATTTTTTTGTAAGGTTTATTATTATTATTATTATACTTTAAGTTTTAGGGTACATGTGCACAACGTGCAGGTTTGTTACATATGTATACATGTGACATGTTGGTGTGCTGCACCCATTAACTCGTCATTTAAAATTAGGTATATCACCTAATGCTATCCCTCCCCCTTCTCCCAACCCCACAACAGTCCACAGTGTGTGATGCTCCCCTTCCTGTGTCCATGTGTTCTCATTGTTCAATTCCCACCTATGAATGAGAACATGCGGTGTTTGGTTTTTTGTCCTTGCCATAGTTTGCTGAGAATGATGGTTTCCAGCTTCATCCATGTCCCTACAAAGGACATGAACTCATCCTTTTTTATGGTTGCATAGTATTCCATGGTGTATGTGCCACATTTTCTTAATCTAGTCTATCATTGTTGGACATTTGGGTTGGTTCTAAGTCTTTGCTATTGTGAGTAGTGCCACAATAAACTTACATGTGCATGTGTCTTTATAGCGGCATGATTTATAATCCTTTGAGTATATACCCAGTAGTGTGATGGCTGGGTCAAATGATATTTCTAGTTCTAGATCCCTGAAAAATCACCACTCCAACTTCCACAATGGTTGAACTAGTTTACAGTCCCACCAACAGTGTAAAAGTGTTCCTATTTCTCCACATCCTCTCCAGCACCTGTTATTTCCTGACTTTTTAATGATCGCCATTCTGACTGTTGTGAGATGGTATCTCATTGTGGTTTTGATTTGCATTTCTCTGATGGCCAGTGATGATGAACATTTTTTCATGTGTCTTTTGGCTGCATAAATGTTTTCTTTTGAGAAGTGTCTGTTCATATCCTTTGCCCATTTTTTGATGGGGTTGTCTGTTTTTTTCTTGTAAATTTGTTTGAGTTCATTGTAGATTCTGGATATTAGCCCTTTGTCAGATGAGTAGGTTGCAAAAATTTTCTCCCATTCTGTAGGTTGCCTGTTCACTCTGATGGTAGTTTCTTTTGCTGTGCAGAAGCTCTTTAGTTTAATTAGATCCCATTTGTCAATTTTGGCTTTTGTTGCCATTGCTTTTGGTGTTTTAGACATGAAGTCCTTGCCCATGTCTATGTCCTGAATAGTATTGCCTAGGTTTTCTTTTAGGGTTTTTATGGTTTTAGGTCTAACATTTAAGTCTTTAATCCATCTTGAATTAATTTTTATATAAGGTGTAAGGAAGGGATCCAGTTTCAGCTTTCTACATATAGCTAGCCAGTTTTCCCAGCACCATTTATTAAATAGGGAATCCTTTCCCCATTGCTTGTTTTTCTCAGTTTTGTCAAAGATCAGATAGTTGTAGATATGCGGCATTATTTCTGAGGGCTCTGTCCTGTTCCATTGGTCTATTTCTCTGTTTTGGTACCAGTACTGTGCTGTTTTGGTTACTGTAGCCTTGTAGTATAGTTTGAATTCAGGTAGCATGATGCCTCCAGCTTTGTTGTTTTGGCTTAGGATTGACTTGGCAATGCGGGCTCTTTTTTGGTTCCATACAAACTTTAAAGTAGTTTTTTTCCAATTCTGTGAAGAAAATCATTGGTAGCTTGATGGGGATGGCATTGAATCTATAAATTACCTTGGGCAGTATGGCCATTTTCACGATATTGATTCTTCCTACCCATGAGCATGGAATTTTCTTCCATTTGTTTGTATCCTCTTTTATTTCATTGAGCAGTGGTTTGTAGTTCTCCTTGAAGAGGTCTTTCACATCCCTTGTAAGTTGGATTCCTAAGTATTTTACTCTCTTTGAAGCGATTGTGAATGGGAGTTCACTCATGATTTGGCTCTCTGTTTGTCTGTTACTGGTGTATAAGAATGCTTGTGATTTTTGCACATTGGTTTTGTATCCTGAGACTTGGCTGAAGTTGCTTATCAGCTTAAGGAGATTTTGAGCTGCGACGATGGGGTTTTCTAGATATACGGTCATGTCATCTGCAAACAGGGACAATTTGACTTCCTCTTTTCCTACGTGAATACCCTTTATTTCCTTCTCCTGCCTGATTGCCCTGGCCAGAACTTCCAACACTATGTTGAATAGGAGTGGTGAGAGAGGGCATCCCTGTCTTGTGCCAGTTTTCAAAGGGAATGCTTCCAGTTTTTGTCCATTCAGTATGATACTGGCTGTGGGTTTGTCATAGATAGCTCTTATGATTTTGAGATACATCCCATCAATACCTAATTTATTGAGAGTTTTTAGCATGAAGGGTTGTTGGATTTTGTCAAAAGCCTTTTCTTCATCTATTGAGATAATCACATGGTTTTTGTCTTTGGTTCTGTTTATATGCTGGATTACGTTTATTGATTTTCATATGTTGAACCAGCCTTGCATCCCAGGGATGAAACCAACGAGAACAAAGACACAACATACCAGAATCTCTGGGACACATTCAAAGCGGTGTGTAGAGGGAAATTTATAGCACTAAATGCTGACAAGAGAAAGCAGGAAAGATCTAAAATTGACACCTTAACATCACAATTAAAAGAACTAGAGAAGCAAGAGTAAATACATTCAAAAGCTAGCAGAAGGCAAGAAATAACTAAGATCAGAGCAGAACTGAAGGAAATAGAGACACAAAAAGCCCTTCAAGAAGTCAATGAATCCAGGAGCTGGTTTTTTGAAAAGATCAACAAAATTGATAGACCACTAGCAAGACTAATAAAGAGGAAAAGAGAGAAGAATCAAATAGACGCAATAAAAAATGACAAAGGGGATATCACCACTGATCCCACAGAAATACAAACTACCATCAGAGAATACTATAAACACCTCTACGCAAATAAACTATACAATCTAGAAGAAATGGATAAATTCCGTGACACATACACTCTCCCAAGACTAAACCAGGAAGAAGTTGAATCTCAGAATAGACCAATAACAGGCTCTGAAATTGAGGCAATAATTAATAGCTTACCAACCAAAAAGAGTCCAGGACCAGATGGATTCACAGCCGAATTCTACCAGAGGCACAAGGAGGAGCTGGTACCATTCCTTCTGAAAATATTCCAATCAATAGAAAAAGAGGGAATCCTCCCTAACTCATTTTATGAGGCCAGCATCATCCTGATACCAAAGCCGGGCAGAGACACAACCAAAAAAGAGAATTTTAGACCAATATCCTTGATGAACATTGATGCAAAAATCCTCAATAAAATACTAGCAAACCGAATCCAGCAACACATCAAAAAGCTTATCCACTATGATCAAGTGATATTTTCCTATGAGAAGCCCACTGTCATTTATATCATTATTCCTGCATAGGCAATGCATCATTTTTTTCTCGCTACTTTCAAGATTTTTCCCTTTACATTTATCTTCAGTTATTTGACTTTTTACTTATCCTACTTTTAGTTTATTTGGATTTCAGGATTTAGAAATTGGTGTTTTTCACCAAATTTGGAAAAATTTTAGCTAATTTTTAAAAATAGTAAAAATTTTTTAAAGTTTTAAAAATGTATTTCTCTTCTACTTTTTGCATTCAAATTATATATATAATTGTTTTGTATATAACATATACATACATGCACATATATATATATATTACACTGTTATTATCTGGCTTATTAAAAAGGCTTTTTATTTTTGTCCATTTTTTTGCCTTCTCTTTTTTATTTTGGATCACTTCTGTTGTTCTGCTTCAAGTGAATTAACCCTTTGTTCTGTTTTCAGCAATCTGAGATTAAGCCTATGCCATAAATTTATCACTTTCTATATTGCAATATGTTAAAAAATATCCATTTACTTCTACTTTATAGTTTATATTTCTCAATTGAGTTATTCATCTGCTTAAAAATATGTTCATGTTTTTCTTTAAATCCTTAGGCAATACATTACTTATCTGCTCAGAAATGCTATTTATATGCTCATTCTAACATTTGTGGTATCCTGTGTTCTGATTATCTTCACTGTTTTTTTTTTCTTGACAATGGGTTACATTTTTCTGCTTCAAATGTCTAATAATTCTTTTTCAATTGGACATTGGACATCAGGGATTATACATTGTAGAGAACCTTGACTCTGATGTGTATTGATTTATCTTCTATCAGACATTTACAAACTGCTCTATGTTCAATTTTAGGGTTTTCATTTTCTGTTTTTATAAGATGGTTCTGTAGAAAGCCCAGAGGTTATTACTCCCTCTCATGCGGCATGACTCAAATACCAAACTCTGTTCATTGTGATGGAAAACAGCAAAAATTTCTTTTTGCTTTTGGGCCTTTTAGCTACTAGTTTTGCAGGGTAATTATGAATCTCTTTTTCTCATGTGAAGTTCAGTGTTCCACAAAGTGTTTGGGCTAGCTTACGTATAGCTACTGGGACTCCTCAAACTGCGTATCTCTCTTTTGAATTCACCTTTTCTCCTTAATATGTGGCTACTTTGGCATTTCTGAACTCGATCCTTTGAAACTTTGATCTAACAAGAGTGTTGATTTCCTTATGTTCTATTATAATCCCACCCTTCCAGTAGATAGGAAAATGCCCTCTAGGAAAGAAAGACTCATTAAAGTTACATATCACCTAGTGTTGCATCCCTTCTTTCAAGAGTTGCATCTACTCTGGTTTCTGCTTGATTTTGTTTACTCAGCAGTGTCTTCATACAGTTGTAAGGTTTTTCTTTTTTTGTACTTTGCCCAGTGTTCATAGCTATTGCCTTCAGCATAGTTAGTCCAATACAAGTACCTCTGTCATTACTATAACTGGACACTTCATCAGATTTTTTTAAATTTTACTTTTCTGTTTGGATTGGATCACTTTACATGATGTTCATGTAGTAATGGAGGAAAGTAAGGGAATGGGTAGAGTGGTAAAAAAGATCTTTAAGAACAATAATAATAAATTCTTAACTGTGGGATAAAGACTATGAAATATCTTCAATCCCAAGTTGTTTAACATAGTCTATTTGCACATATATAAATAATAATTTTGTTTGCTTTGAAATTTGGTGAACTATGTGCTTGAATTAAAGTGGTAGAAAATTAAGCCTAGGGAAATATTAGACACCAGCCCCATGGGTTTTTTGCATAAATAATTGAAAATAATTTGGGCTTGCATAAACTTTAGAAATGGAGGATTCCATGAAATTTTACCTAACCTTATAGTTTAGGGAATGCAAGATGATATTCTCATTATATATATTGCATAGGACCTTAGCAGTATATAGACAACCAAGAAGACAAGTTATCAAAGGTACAATTTTGAGCTGTAGTCATGACATTAATGTAGGTATAAAATTTTAGTTTCTTAAACAGAAGCGAGACAAGCTCTCAGTTTTCTAGAACTGCAATACAATATTATATTAGTTACAAAAAACTACAACTCGTGTAAGTGCAAGGTATGTACCAATATGCTTACTGATGGTCACAAACCACCCGTCCAAAATATTAACTTATTAGACATTTGGCAGTATTCTTTGCAACTATGTTATCCTAAAGAGGTGTATGGGTGTAACTCAGGTCTTCATAAAGAAGACAGCACAGTAATCCTGTAATTGTATTATGGACAAAACAATAAGTTAACTCTTGCCCTAAAAATGCAAATGTCACCCTGGTCAATCTTTCCTTGCTATTTGCTAAAGAATTATCGAATGTTATACAAGTATTTTTGAATTACCTGGTAAGATTCAAAGCTCGTATTTGATAGAGAATATTAACTCCACTTGAAGGCATTCATGCTAAAGTAGATTGGGCTTCTTCCTAGGTAAAATTACAAATCAGGCTTCTGAGAATTTAAAACAACCTCTTAGTGTTTCATTTCTAATAGTCCAAATATATAGATTTACAGTAATATCATAGGAAGAAGTAATATTATTGATATTTATAGTAATGTCATAGGCATCCAATAGTCCAAATATATGGATTTACAGTAATATGCAGCACGGTGGACTGACTTAGAATATACATTCTGGAGGTAAACTCCATGGGGTTGAAGCTTGGCTCCACTACTTCCTAGTAGTCTGAGATTGGACAAATTACCTCTCAGTGCCTCAATTTCCTGTCTTGACAATGGTGTGTACAATAGAATCTATTTCATTAGGCTGATCTGAGGATTAAATGCGTTAATAGATATAAAGCATTTAGAATAATCACTGCTAGATATTTTCAGTATTATATAACTATTAAAATTATAACTTTTGTGAAAGATTTCAAGTACAGTTGACCCTTGAACAACATAGACTTCAACTATGCAGGTCCACTTATAGATGGATATTTTGCAGTATATTGGAAAAATTTGTGGGGGAGGGGTGTTAGACAATGTGAACAAACTTACAGAAAAAAATGTAACATACAACTCTCAAAAAATTAAGAAATAGTTAAGTGTTATGAATGCATAAAATATATGTAGCTACCGGTCTATTTCATCATTTGCTACCATAAAATATCTACAGATATTTTAATAAAAAGTTAAAATTTATCAGAACTTATGCACACACAAACACAGACTACTTGGAATCATTTGCAGTTGGTAGAAATGTAAACAAAGGTAAAGATATATGATTAAGTCATAACTTTATAAAATTAACTGTAGTACATACTATATTACTATAATAATTTTGTAGCCACCTCCTGTTGCTATTGCAGTGAGCTCAAGCGTTTTGCGTATCCACTTAAAATGCTCTGTGACACTAATCAACTCTAAGCGAGTAGTTGTCTTTCCAGTAAATTGTGTATCACAGTAAAGAGTGATCTCTGGATGTTCTTACATATTTTTCACTTAGTGCAATATGGCAAACCTTGAATAAAACCTTGAGACCCATACAAAGTGCGACTAGTGATGCTGGAAGTTCTCCCAAGAAGCAGAGAACATAATGACATTACAAGAAAATGTTAACATTTGATATGTACCATAGATTGAGGTCTTCAGCTGCAATTGCCCGTTACTGACAGATGAGTCATCTAGTAAACAGACTACATATACTTATGGTAATGACAAATATAGTACCATACTGCCAATGTATTTTCTCTTACTAATTTTTTAATCAACATTTTCTTTTCTCTAGCTTGCTTTAAGAATACAATATAAAATACATATAACATATACAATATATGTGAATCAACTGTTTATCAGTAAGGCCTCCAGTCAACTACTGATAGTAGGCTATCAGTAGTTAAACATGTGGAGAGGCAAAAGTTATATGCGATTTTTGACAGCATGGGGGATCAGCGCCCCCTAGCCCCTGAATTGCTCAAGGTTTCACTGTAGTAACTGATTTTACTTCACTATCTTCTAATGGTTTAATTTTTGAGACAACTGAAAGGGACATGTTATTGCCAATTTAATTATTCACCCATCTAGTGTTGTCAAGCTCTACTGAGCAAAAAATTAACAGTAAACATTTTCATAGCATTTTAAAAAAAAGTATATCTTTGCTGAGGAAAAGGAGGGCTCATACATTTGTTCTTCCAGGTAATATTTATTGTTTGCCTATACCTGGGCACTGAAAAAAAAATGTACCCCAAATGCCTACCTTGCAGATTTTAAAAACTAATATAAATTCAGAAAATAAATATGAGAAATAAATAAGTTAAACAGTATTATATGCCAAGAGGAAAAAATGGAGGAAAATGAGATAGAAGGTATTAGAGGTAAGGGTACTGCAGTTTCAGTTAAACATCCAGGTTGACAAGGAAATGGTCCTTTTACTAGTTATTTTATGCCATTTACCCTACATTCTACTTTATTATACATAGAATCGTAAAGTAAGTTAATTTTTCAGTAACAGCACAGTCCTTATATCAGCTGTAAGTGATAACTAGTTTCCAGCTTTGCAAATTATTAAGTATATAATTTGTATAAGTACTTAATTTCTCTAGGTCACTTTCTTTATCTTTGAAGGCAGAAAAAAATTTACTATATAGAATTGTGGTAATACCCAAATCAAATAGAGATGACAGAATTGTTTGGAGGTCTGTAATTGAACATACAGAACTATCTCTTGTAGAACCAAAACAGTTTGCTCTTGAAAAAGGGCCTAGTTTTTCATTTATTTTATTTAACAAGCCCTTGTATTTTATTAACTTTTAGGGGAAGTTCTGAGTACTTTACAAATAATAACCCATTTGATCTCCTTAGTCACTTAATAAGGTATTATTATTCTCATTTTAGTGATGAGGAAACTGGGGCACACAAAGGTTAACTATGTAGTTTAAGGCAATGAGACTAATAAGTAGTTAAGAGCTATGTTATTCACAGGTAGAACAATTAGAAAATGGCACTACATCCTTTCTGCTGACTGATCTGTGCGAGGGTACAGGATCTATCAAACGGAGCTTGAGTGGGATTTCAGAGCCTTGTCCAGTGGCTCTTCCTTTATGTAATCTGTTAATCCTTAGGAAAATTTTACACAGTCCTAAGCCACCCTCCCCCATTGCTTGCTCATGTAATAATCTCTGCTCCTTGTGAGAGATATAAAGAGTATTACACTTGATCCTATACAAAATATGCCAAATGTCAATGCATCCTGTGATTTTTGTCGTTCCTTTTTTGGAACAGGAGCTATATTTACACTTGAATGAATAACAGATGCAAATTTTGTACTTAAATTTCCTTGGTTTAAGTATTTTTTTGACTTATCCTTTTGTCTCCCCTATTTAGGAAGAGGATTACTCTTGCATTTAAGGTCAAATAGCATCAACAAGATGAGAAATAATGTGTCTTTTCTCAAATCATATCTACTGAGAATAAGCTTTGAGAGCTGTAGGAGAGAGCTGAATACCAGCAACTATCTCCCCTTTTAGCCAAGAAGAGAGTTAAAAAGAGGTCCCATTACCCCTCCATTTGTACCAGTAGTTCTCAAGTCTGCCTGTACATTAGAATATAGTGGGAAGTCTTCTAAAATATATTTTCATGGCAAACATCAGACTATTTAAATTAGAAATTCTGAGAAGGAGTTCTGAGACTATGTGTTTTTAAAAAGTTGCCTAGGTGATTTTACAGGTCAACCAAAACTGAGAAACACTGATCTAAAATGTAGAAAACCTTGTCATCAGTCCTGGACTAAACTCTCTTAAAATGCAGCCACTCACCTTCAGCCTGAGAGCCAAAGAAGTACAGAAAATATCAACTAATAAGTTAATATTTTCTTATTAGGGAGTAAAATATTTGGTGAAACCCTTTGGCTAGTCTTTGCTGGTGTCCTGAAATTTACAGCCACTGTCATCAATAAAAGGATCAAAATATCATCTGGTCTAGTAAGGGGAGCCACCTCTAATTTCCTATAACAACTTTCTTAGTGTAATGTCTAGTACACAATATGCCTGTAATAAATGGTAGTAGTTATTAGTAGTTCCACAGAAAATTTATCTTAAGTTTATGAACCTTCTGCTATTAAATTATGATGTTTATAATGCATTCATAATTTTTTATGTCTTATTTCCCAGCTAAGTCAGAGGGAAATTTTAATGAGCTAGTTAAATCTAGATTCTTTGTTCATTGTATGATGTTTTCATTTTGTACATATGTGCTTGCTTGCTTATATCATGGTTGATTTTGAAATCAAACTATACTGACTGAAAATGAATACATAAATAACTCTTTAAGACTACACCATCAAATATTTATTAAAGGTAAAATATACGTAGGGCTAATGGTTAGTTAAAGAAGACATTTACAAAATGTTTTTCTATAGGTATTTTTTTAGAGGGGTAGTACATTACAGAAAAATGTCTTGCATACTTTCTACTTTTTAAGAAATTTTATAAAGAAAATTTATAACCCAAGTCATAACAGCTAAGGGCCATAACTGATAGTTTGTAGGACAGCATTAATATAGATCACCAAAGCCAAAATAAAAATCAAAATACATCACATTTTACTTCATATTTTACAGTATGACTTAATATCAGAATACACATTTTTTTTTTTTTTTTTGGTGGGGGGGATGGAGTTTTGCTCTTGTTGCCCAGGCTGCAGCACAATGGTGCAACCTGGGCTCACTGCAGCCTCCGCCTCCTGGGTTCAAGCAATTCTTCTGCCTCAGCCTCCCTAGTAGCTGGGATTACAGGTGCCCACCACCATGCCCAGCTAAATTTTGTAAATTTTGCATCCTCAGCAGAGACAGGGTTCCACCATGTTAGCCAGGCTGGTGTCAAACTCTTGACCTCAGGTGATTCGCCCGCCTTGGCCTCCCAAAGTGCTGGGATTACAGGCATGAGCCACCATGCCCAGCCAGAATACACAAATTTTATGGAGTTGGCATTATTATAACATCTTCTTAATGGAATTAATTTTTTATTTAAAAATATAGACTATTCCTCCTAATCAGAATAATAATAAAAATGAAACTCTGCATACTAAAAGTAGAAATAGGTAATAATATATATATTAGTAAAGGTTCTTCAGAGAAACAGAACCAATAGGATGTATGTATAATAAAAAGATTTACTATAAGGAATTATTTCATGTAGTTATGGAGGCTGCCATGTTCCATGATCTGCATGCTGAGTCAGAAAGCTGGAGACCCAAGAGAGTCAATGGTAGTTCTAGCCTGAGTCCTAAGCCTAAAAACTTGGAGAACTGACAGTGTATTTTTCTTCCTAAGGCCAGTAAGCTCAAAACACATGAGCTGATGTTCCAGTTTGAGCACAAAGGCAGGCAAAAGCCAATGGCCAATTTCAGGGCAGTCATGTGGAAGGAATCCTATCTTATTCAGGGGAGGATCAGCCTTTGTGTTCCATTCATGCTTTCAATTGATTGGATGAAACTCAACAACATGAGGGAAGATATTTGGCCTTACTTGGTCTATTAACTTAAATGTTCATCTCATACAAGAACACCCTCACAAAAACATCCCAAATAATGTTTGAATCAGTGGATCAGTCAACATGACACAAAAAAAATTAACCATCACAACATGCTTATGTGCTATAATACTCATAATCTGAGACTGATTTGTTGTTTTAGAGAAAAGTATGATGGCAAACTGTGGGTGCAACTGTGAATGACTTTCTTCCTCTTGGGTTGATACCTCTAATAATAGTGCCTTTTCTGTACTGACCATGTCACCATCTCCAATTCCCCAGAATTTTGTTTGTCCAATTGTTCGGAAGCATTCACTAATTCTTCAGTACAATTCAGAGCTTTCTTTTCTAAATTTTCAACATTTTCACATGATAAATGAAAAAACAAAACTAAAAGTTATGAAGCTGAAGTCATGTACAAAGTTGTATCAATTTCTATCAGATATAATCTGTATGCCTGTAGACATACTGCCTCAATTTTCTGGCTTTAATACTTTTATCTCTAGGGAGATGATGATGAAATTCCATGAATTATCAGATCGTTTTGCTATTTATGATATCTAAAGGAAGATGTATATCACACTTTTTATTGGCATGGAATGTGTTATCGTATAGGATATCTACCTCAAAAGGATAATGAATTTATACTTTCTCCTTACTAGTGTATTATTCATGAGAATGTTACTTAGCCAAGTTACATAAGATCTATAATCCTCCATTTTCACTTCTAAAAAATGTGGAAGAAAAACAGCTATTTCATAAAGTTAGCATATAGACTAACTGAAATAATGCATGCAAAATTTCTAGTATAATATCTGACACATAGTGAAAGTATTTGATTGTATTAATATATTTTGACCAGGAGACTAAAATAGGGCTGTCCCTTTTACTCTAGGTTCTTATCTCCAGAATTATCTCATTTTAACCTATTTTAAAATTTTGTACCCAGATAATACTAGATTACAATTTCAGCAACTCATCTCCTTGGAGTTAAAGAGTTTTATCCTAATACAACCAAATGCAGAAAAAAAAAATTCTTGTTTATTTTTCCTCTCTTTTAGGTGCACTAAAATAAGATTATATTATTTTCATATAATCTTCTTATTTGATACCACCAATTGTCAAATTCATAAGATAATAGCTGACTTTTCAGGTTATAATAATATCGCAGATCTTGAGGAATAGGGAAGGCTTTTAATGTGTTTCAAATCTTTGGCTTCTTGAGAAATCAGATACTAAATCTGTCACTAGACTCAAAACCAAGTAGTCAACCTTTGGCCCTGTTCCAGTTTGTAATGGTGCAAATTCCAGACCTCTCCCTGAGTAATTCTCATTTGTAGTCCAGAGACATGAGGCTGCTGTAGTTAGACATTAATAAAAGATCTCAATGCAATGGAGCAAAATGCAGGAGAAGCAGGTCTTGGTGTGTAAGCCAAATGGACTAGCTATCTGTTGTCTGGCAGCTGTCGAGAAAAAATAGCAAAGAATAAAATTATAAAGCATGGCTAAGCAGATTGGAAAAAATTGTTATATTTTTCTGAGGATTTCAAGAAAACCAAAGAGTTAAATATAGTTGTAGAGATAAAATAAAGTCTATATAAGCTTGAAAAGAAAAAAAATAGAATTCAAAAACGTAGTGAAAACTCAGTTATCTCAATCCAATTAACCCAAAAATGTTTCTTTTGTAATGAAATTATAACTTCCATCATTTATTATTTCCATTAAAAAAGGAGTCTGGCCTGATTCACTCAACATATAATTTATAATTTAAGTTTCTAAATTGAATCCTTATGTTATATGATTACTCAAGCCAGGTGTATGTTGGAGTGAGCAATAGCACGTAGAGAATAATAAGCATCATCACTTGAACTAATTTTATTGGTGACTATGTGATTGAGGTAATGTTTACGGTTGGTTGTGGCCAATTGCATTAACTAAATGCAATTCTTTTCTAATTTGAACAATTTCATTCAGAACTAAAGGTAAAAAAAAAAAACCTTTTTCTATATTAATCTGTTGTATCAGAAAAATACAGATAAATGTTAACTTTTATTAAATTAAAAAAAGAAATGATAACCAGAAAGCCCCAAATTTATGTGTATTATCTTAAGGGATGTTTATGCATCCTATTCTCAGAATCAGTTATATAGAAATGCATGGTCCAATTTATACATGTACCAAAGCAAACTCTTGCTAAAATTTAAATAGTAAACACAGTACTTTCTCGGTATTCATGGGAGATTGGGACCCTCCACAGAGAGCATATTCTCTAGATGTTCAAGTCCCTTTATAAAATTATAGGCCAGGCACGGTGGCTGATGCCTGTAATCCCAGCACTTTGGGAAGCTGAGGCGGGCAGATCACGAGGTCAGGAGATCGAGACCATCCTTGGCCAACATGGTGAAACTCCGTCTCTACTAAAAATACAAAAATTAGCTGGGGATGGTGGTGCAAGCCTGTAGTCCCAGCTACTTGGGAGGCTGAGGCAGGAGCATCGGTTCAACCAAGGAGGCGGAGGTTGCAGTGAGCCAAGATCACGCCTCTGTACTCCAGCATGGGTGACAGAACAAGACTCCGTCTCAAAAAATAAATAAAATAAAATTGTATAGTATTTGCATATATAATCTACATACATCTGTATGCTTTAAATCATCTCTAAATTACTTATAATGCATAATACAATGTAAATTCTACATAAATATTTGTCATACTATATTGTTTAAGGAACAATGACAAGAAAAAAAAATCTCTACTTTTTCAGTACAGATGCCACCATCTACTTTTTTCAAATACTTTCAATCTACGTTAGGGTGAATCCACAGATGCAAAACCCACAGATAAAGAGAGTCAGCTATGTTCTAACATAATTTTTTTTGAGTTATATAAATGGTCACAATATTGTTTCAATGCCCCCCTCTGTAGTGCTTGAATGTTGATAGGTGAATAAAATTGGTACTTATCCATTTCCAACAGTGTAGATCATTGTGAAAGTGAATCTTACTTCAGGTCACTACACCAATATATTAAACTCAAATTTCAATAGAAAGAAATAAAACAAGTTATTGATTATAGAAAGTCTGAAGAATATGAAGGTATTTGATATCAAAAAGGCAAATGATATTCCATAAAAACACAAATACTTGTACAAAGAAGTAGAACTGAATTTCTATTTAAGATTTAGAATTCAATATGTTGGTAAAGATTAAACATCATAGACAATGAATAAATGTAGAAGACAATATTTTTATAGTAGTAATATCATGGAAATGGAAGAATAAGGCACTCAAAGGAACTATCCCTCCATTGAAACCATTCAAACTGGCAATAACTGATAGAATACAGTTTTTCAGAATTCTAGAATCTAATCCAAAACTTACAGCAAATGGAAGACTACTTAATGAAGAGTAGGGCAGTTGCTTTTTAGTAAGAGAGCATTGTGGCATTTTTGCTCACTTGCATACTATTTCTCATTCCCGAGCATGGTAGTGATGACACCAGCATTCCTGGTGTAGCCATTGTTCACTTTAAAATGTTTAATTTTATGTTAAATGAGTGTTACCTTAGTTTCACGAAAAAAAAGAAGAGGAAGAAGAAGAAGGTTTCTACAGCTGCATTTTTCAAGATATGTGACCATGGAATTTCACCTTGGGAAAAACACAGACAACCCCAAATTGAGGAACTTGCTACAAAATGATTGGCCTATAATCTTCAATTATGCCAAGATCCTGATAGACAAAGGAAATCAGAAAAATTCTTCCAAATTGAAAGAGGCACAATAAATGTAGTGTATCCTCGTGAATAGGAACCTTTTTCTATAAATGACATTAGAACAACTAGTGATTTCTGACTGGAATCTGTGAATTAGATTATTGTATTTTAACAGTGTTAATATCCTAATTTAGATGATAGTACTGTGTTTATGTAGCTGTGTCCTTTTAAATGCATACTGAAGTTTTTGGGGATGATGAGACATAATGTCTGCAGTTCACTCTCAGAGTGAAAGCAAGGAAGGAGAAAGAGGAGAGAATAAATGTAAAATGCTCACAAGTGAAATCTAAAGGAAAGATATAATCGGTCTTTACTATTCTTGCCCCACCACTTTAGGGTTTATGTTCACATATGTCATCCATCCAAGTCTATCAATATCTGCAAACATAATTGCTTTTGCAACTCTGTTCATTTTCTTGGTTTTAACTACTGCTTTGATTTTAATGACTCCCAAATTCATATATTCATTCCAGGATTTTTCTTTAGCATCCCATTTATCTAACTCCTCAGAGTCCCAATCACTTCAAATTAAATATAACCTACTCATTCATTGAGTGAAAAAAAAGTTACTGGATTTATATATGGCAGGCATTATATTCAGGAATATATTACTGAACTATATACTAGATAGCTGGTGAGCTGAATTTTCACGAAGCTGACAGTCTTGCCATACCACTTTTAAGCTTTCTTTTGTTAAAATCTGTCCCCTACTGCTTCATTCAGAAATCTAGGAATGATTCTAGCTTTTATGCTTTGTCATCCTCTACATGCATTTCATTACAAAGCTGTGCCAATTTTATTTCCTAAGAATTTCTTGCATCTGCCCTATCTTCCTTGCCACTTCTCCTTCCCCAGCCCTACGATTTTTGCTGGAATTTGCCATGAATTCTGGACTTTCTCAGCAACCTCTGAATGGATTCTGTTGCCTAGAATCTTGCCCAGCTTAAATCTATTTTACATGCTGCAGCCAGGCTGTTCCATTTTAACTGAGAATTTGATTATACTTATTTACTGAAATGATGTCTTCAGTCTGTGTTATTTTAAAAAAAAGATTACTAGTTCAAAGAGCAAAATAGTTTATGCTACAATTTTTAAATATTTATACCCAAATATCAGTTTCTTAATTATACATTTCTTGGCTACCTTTTCTAAATTTTCACACCCCGCACATGTTATCTTCTCATTTAATTATTTACCTTAGTTCTAATTACCATGTAAGATATTTTACAATTTACTTATTTCTCTTGATTAGTGACTGCCTTTCTCTCCCTAGACGAGAAGCTCTACATGGACAGAGATTTTTGTTTTGGTCATGGTTGAATATCTAGTGCTTGGAACTGCCCCTGACACATGACAAACACTCAATAAATACTTATCAATTAATTAATTCCACAAAACTTCAAATTGTAAGACATATTTTAAAATGTTGTTTTGAATGAAAACTGAGGAAGATACAAGAGCACTGACTCTTCTCCCTCCTCTTTGTTTCCTTTAAGGAAACTTAAAGCTACAGTCAGAGCTTCTTAGCATGAGACCCAAGCCTCTGATCTATGTCCCTAAAACCCTCTTTTATTTCCCCTTAGCTCATGCTCCAATGTCTATTTATGTCCATCTTCTTACAGTTTCCTGCAGCAGCCAGGATGTTCCACATCCTATCCATTAGCCTATTCTCAGGCTAACTCCCTTTCAATTAACAGCATTTTTATTCATTCATTTTTCCAGGTTCCATCCAGGTTCTATCCCTGGCATTATCCCAAACTTCTCTCTACTTGCATACCAGCTACTTAATCCCTTTATGGTTATGGCCACTCATATTTTTATCTTACTATCACAGCACTTTAGAACATCATACTAAAATTTTTACTTTTGCTTAACTACAGACATAGTACTGTATTAATAATAAAAGCCTAATTCATTGTTTGACATCTGATAGGTGTTAAATAGGTATTTTTTGAACAGATGTAAAACAATTGTCTTTTACAATTCACAAAATACTTCTTTGGCTATACGTGAAACATCAATATTGGAGTTTCTCAAAAGCTCAAAAATTCACACGTATGTTTATTGCGGCATTATTCACAATAGCAAAGACTTGGAACCAACCCAAATGTCCAACAATGATAGACTGGATTAAGAAAATGTGGCACATATACACCATGGAATACTATGCAGCCATAAAAAATGATGAGTTCATGTCCTTTGTAGGGACATGGATGAAATTGGAAATCATCATTCTCAGTAAACTATCGCAAGAACAAAAAACCAAACACCGCATATTCTCACTCATAGGTGGGAACTGAACAGTGAGATCACATGGACACATGAAGGGGAATATCACACTCTGGGGACTGTGGTGGGGTGGGGGGAGTGGGGAGGGATAGCATTGGGAGATATACCTAAGGCTAGATGACGAGTTAGTGGGTGCAGCGCACCAGCATGGCACATGTATACATATGTAACTAACCTGCACAATGTGCACATGTACCCTAAAACTTAAAGTATAATAAAAAAAAAAAAGAAAAAAAAAAGACCAAACCAAAAAAAAAAAAAAAAAAGCTCAAAAATTTGGACTAAGTAGTATGAATCATCTTTTTAATAAAAGGGTCTATCTTTTTTTTATTTTAAAATCAGAGATATAATTCACTCTGTACCTAGGGAAGATCAAGGAAAAACTTACATTATTGAAAATATACAATGTACAATGTAGCTAACACTATTATGCACTTTGTATATGTTATCTAAGTCAGTAGTCTTAAGAGCAATAATTTTCACATATTTTTAAAATACAGATAAAGTGAAATTCTAAGAGATTACATATTTGCCCAAGGTCATATAACTAGGAAAGATCAGAGCTGAGTTTCTTATGCAGATTAATCGCTTTCCAAAGCTGATAAACTTTTCCACTCTTCAAAAGTGCTCCTCCAAGAATGATAATAACAGTGGCAGCTTAAGGTGATTGAAGTTTTACTTAACGTGCATTGTATGATCAGAGAGACAAAAATAGATGCTGCTTTATCAAATAATCTGGACCCTAAGGTTAAGAAAACTAAAAAGTTACCTACAGGCTGAAGGCTCAGGAACCAGCTTCCATGACAATTTTCTAAATTCCTATGGCTATAATTAAAATCACACTCTTCGTAAGCTAACACCCTAACTACAAGAGTTATTAGGCAAAATGTCAGCCCCTTCCTAAAGTAATTTACAACCCAGACTCCACCTCATTTTAATTACAAAACCCCACCCCAAGTTGAACATGGGATGCATGTTACATATATATTTATACATTGTGCATACACTTGACCACCCTCATAAATATGTATAGAATTTTCCAGAAACATGTTGAATATGTATGACTCTGTGAGTCATAAAACCCATCTGCCCTCTCTACCAAAAAATACAAAAAAAAATTAGCCGAGCGCGGTGGCGGGTGCCTGGAGTCCCAGCTACTCGGGAGACTGAGGCAGGAGAATGGCGGGAGCATAGAAGGCGGAGCTTGCAGTGAGCCGAGATTGCGCCACTGCACTCCAGCCTAAGAGACAGAGCGAGACTCCGTCTCAGAAAATAAAGAAATAAATAAATACCCATCTGCCCTTTCCCTCTTCAAAGATAGAGCACCTTCAGTTCCTACTAGAGACTGTTTCTTCCGAGTTTGCAAGCTGATATCACCAATAAAAATTTCCTTTCTACTATTCAGCCATTTTGGTGGTCTTTTGGACAACAAATGTTTCATTTATTCCTCACCAAAATCTTGTGACTGACTGCTATGATTTGAATACTGATGTGTCCCTGAAATTCATATGTTAGAACTTAATCCCCAAATGTGACAGTATTTAGAGGTAGGGCCTTTTAAGAGGTGAATAAATATTGAAGATTCCTTTCTCATGAATTGAATTAGTGCCCCTATAAAAGAGGTTGGTGGGAGCTTCCTTTCACTTCCACCAGGTAAGAAAGCAGCATGAAAGCATCACCTTTGAAGCAGAGAGTGAGGCCTCACCAGACAATGAATCTGCTAATTTGCTGGTGCCTCAATCTTGGATGCCCCATCCTCCAGAATTGTAAAAAATAAGTTTCTATTTTTTATAAACTACCCAGTCTAAGGTATTTTGATGTAGCAGGAATGGACTAACACACCAATCCTGGATCAATATCATCTCTATTTTATGGATGATAAAATTAATGTAAAGAGAAATTAAATAATTTTTCCTAGTTAGCTAGAATTTGATTTCAGGCAGTCTGAACTCAAAACATGTGTTCTTAACAAATATGTAAACAATAAACTGCAGTCTTTTGAGAAAACAACGTTGAGACCCCTATATTTTGCCATATACAAAAGTTAAAATCAATTGAAGACTTAAATCTAAGACTTCAAACTATAAAACTATTACAAGAAAACATTGGGGGAACTCCCAAGGACACTGAGTTGGTTGAAAACTTTTTGAGAAATACCTCACAGGCACGGGCAATCAAAACAAACACGGACAAATGGGATTACATTAAGTTAAGAAGACTATGCACAGCAAAGGAAACAATCAACAAAGTGAAGACACAACTCACAGAATGGGGGACAATATTTGCAAACTACCTACCTGACAAGATATTAAAAACCAGAATGTATAAGGAGCTCAACTCTATAGGAAAAATGCTAATAATCTGATTTAAATGGGCAAAAGATATGAATTGACATTTCTAAAAAGAAGATATAAAAATAGCAAAGAGGCATATGAAAAGGTGCTCAGCACCACTGATCATCAAAGAAGTAAAAATGAAAACTACAGTAGGGTATTATCTCACCCCAGTTAAAATGGCTTTTACTCAAATGATAGGCGATGACAAATGCTAGTGAGGATGTGGAGAAAAGAAACCTGTACACTTGGTGGGTGGATTTGTCTGTTCTCACCCTGCTAATAAAGATATACCTGAGACTGGGTAATTTAGAAGGGAAAGAGGTTTAATGGACTCACAGTTCCACATGGCTGGGGATGCCTCACAATCATGGCAGAAGTCAAAAGAGCAGCAAAGTCACGTCTTACATGGATGGTGGCAGGCAAGAGAAGAGAACTTGTACAAGGAAATTCTCCTTTATAAAACCATCGGATCTCATGAAACTTACTATCACAAAAAAATCTTACGGGAAAAAAATCTCACCCATGAGTCAATTACCTCTTACTAGGTCCCTCCCACGACATGTGGGAATTGTGAAAGCTATAATTCAAGATGAGATTTGGGTGGGGACACAGCCAAACCATATCATGGGAATGTATATTGGTATTAGTACAACCACTGTGGAGAACAGTTTTGGGGGTTCCTCAAAGAACTAAAAATAGAGCTACTATATGATCCAGCGATCCCACTGCTAGGTACATACCCAAAAGAAAGGAAATCTGTATACTGAAGGGATATCTATACTCCCATGTTGGTTGCACACCTGTTCACAATAGCCAAGATCTGGAAGCCCCCTAAATGTATGTCAACAGATGAATAGACAAAATGTGGTACATATACGCAATGGAGTACTTACTATTCAGCCATAAAAAGGGAATGAAATACTGTCATTTGCAACAATATAGATGGAACTAGAGATCATTATGTTGTGACAGACACAGAAAGACAAACTTTGCTTGTTCTAATTTTTTTGTGGGAACTAAAATTTTTAAACAATTGACCTCATGGAGATAGACAGTAGACGGACGGTTATCAGAGGCTGGAAAGAAAAGTAGGAGAGTGGAGGGAAGTGGGGATTAATGATGGGTACAAAAAGTATTAGAAAGAATGAATAAGATCTAGTGTTTGATAGCATAACAGGGTAGCTGCAGTCAAAATAATTAAATTGTGCATTTAAAAATAACTAAAAGACTATAATTGGATTGTTTGTAACACAAAAGATAAATGTTTGAGGGAATGGATACCCTATTTGCCATGATGTGATTATTATGCATTGAATGCCTGTATCAAAGTATACCATGTACATCATAAATATATACACTACTATGTACCCCCCAAAATAAAAAGTAAATATTCACCATCTACACAATGTAGTTCTTTCCAATTCATTAGGAGCAAAAATAAGTGTGGATATATATATATATATATTTTCTGTACTTTCAAAACGATCTGTAAAACATAATTGAAAATCTATTCAAAATCCCAGAGGCTGAATTGGTGTGACAATTTGGATATAGTTGGAAATTTTAAATGAATTAGTTTGATGATAGGACTAAGTTTCATTGTTTCAATATTTACAAAGTATGTGAATTCAGAGAAGTTATTTAGTCTTTCTAAACAGACTGCTTTTTTCTATTTTAAACAAGGGAAATCATAGCCCCTAACTCACAAGACAGAGGTAAAATTTAGTAAGATGATCCATGTATAATCAAACTAGTCACAATAACTCACATGCAACAAATGCCAACTCTTATGACTATTATCTTTTTGTTCTGTTTTTAGCAGAAGAGGTTTTTCCAATAGTATCAATAAGATCTCAATTATGAAAATGATTGTTATGTGTCATAATGGCAAAACATACCTGCTGTCAAAATATTAACTCTTCAAAACATTATAGAAGATAAATTCTTCATGTGCCTACGACTGAGAAAACATGGAGGTTTGAAGGAAGCTAAGAAAAACTAATTTTATTAGATTAACTGGATATCTGTATTATTTTCCTTTTACTTCAGAAATCTGCTTAGCCAACTATATTTTATTGTTTATTTAAGCTCTGTTTGCCAACTTTTTCTTCTGGAAGAGAATTTTCTTGGTTTAAGCCTGACAGTGTCATTCTCTTTTTCTAAAATAAATATACTCCTTTATAATTCAAATTTAGAAGGTGGATCACATGTCCAGGGATAGCTGAAAAAGTTTCATTTTTAATAATTAAAGCATGACTTTGTCAGCAGACAGTGATAAAAGCATAATCTGTGAAAAGGAAAAGTTTACGTTTTCTTCTTAAAACTGTAGTAATAAAACCTTTTTACTTGGTGACTTAAATCCCATAATTTTATGGGTGTTTAATTATGTAATATTAATGCAGAAAGCCTCTTATAGGTTAATAAGGAAAGAGCGACCAAGTGAGATTTCAGAGTTTTATTTATTTATTTATTTATTTTAAATAAAGGTTGGAGACTTAAGGTTTTACTGTTTACATAACTATCTTTACTCTACTTAAGATGAAGATATCACCCAAAAGAGTGGAGCAACACCTTTTTATTTTAAAAGCTCTGCTTTTTTCATTGCTTATGGCAAAACATATTTGAAGAAACCATACTGATTTTTATAATTCCAAATCACTTCACACTCAATAAATTATAATTTTAATGATTTTATAGAATGCTTTTGAATTTATGATCATCCCATATAAACATGTCTAACTTTTGTTTTTCCCTCTTTTAAATTTATTTTTCATTTCTAATTTTTTTTTAAATTTTTGTAGGTACATAGTAGATGTATGTATTTTGGGGGTGCATTAGATATTTTGGTATAGCACTCAAAATAAAATATCTCTAATATGAATTCAAATGATTCCAAAAGATGATTTTGATGAAAATTAAAATAAATTAAATATGCTAAAATAAAATTAAGAGCAATCATTCAATTGATTTAGTTCGAGACAAATTTAAAGACTTTTTAAAAATAAGAACTTGAATCTCCCACCAATGCATATCATGCAATTTTAAAATATTTAAGACCTGTCAGCACTATTATTTTTAAATGTTATATATAAATCTCATAATCTTCCTACTCTAATATTATGCATGATTTTATCCTAGGAGATCTAACAAAGATGTACCATTGATGAAGATTATTTACTCCAAACTATTCCTTTTACAGACATTACAATGGAGGGTACAAAATCAATGTGACATGAAGAACCTAAACAATTGTCTCTATATTGATCTATGGGAGAAAAACATTTGCCATTTGTTTGTTTTTACTTTTATTTCATCCTCTTTTTCATTCTGTTTTGATTTATTTTACGTGGTGAAACTTCTAGCAATACGGTACATTGTTAAAAGGCATAAATAAATATACATATATTTAGAGGGTACACACTGAAAAAAAATTAGCAGATAGAGATACATAATATAAAATATTTGGAGATCCCCTAAACTCGACAATTATACTTTCATTTCGAGGAAAGCTTCACTTTAAAGGAGAGTAGATTATATTCTGATCTCTCTTTATCTCAGTTTTATTGCCATTTTCTTCTAGCTCCCAGCAAATGTCAATATTCTGCCCCATAAGGAGCTGAGGAGTCCCTTTAGTAGAGAAACCAAGCATTACTTTTTTGAGCTGTGATCTACAGTCCAAACTGACACATCAAACTCTTAACATCCCAAACTATATTTTTAGTACAGTTTCTGTTTAGAGTTATTTCATTTTAGGTTAGTAACCAGTCTGCCTACCTGCATTTTGGCTCAGTGGCATACTCTTTACCGGAAGCAAAGATGTTTAGAATAGAGGAGATTCTGGAAAATTAACATTGTTATTGTTGTTTTTCTGAATTTATGAAGTTATGTTCAGCATATATGGTTGGGAGAAGTGGGGTGCAGTGGCAGGGAGGCACTCCTTCCCACTAACATTTTCCACAAAAGTAAATCCGTTTTTATCTGTTAATGTTAGAAACTTCAAGTAAAATTTTATTTTAAGAACATGTTCCATTTATATATTTTATAAAACAAGGTTTTACCCAAATAAGCAACTCTAATTTGGCTCTATTTTCATGTTTTTTTTCTATTCCATATATGTATTTTTTCTAAATTTATAGTTTTTTCTCTTTAACATTAAAATATTGACTTTGATTATACACTCTAAAAAGTATATTTCCTGACTTCAAAAAATATGAATATGTGCAATCTAGTTCACATTTGGGATTGTTTATATAGATCAAATAAGCCAAATGTTTTACTTCTCTTCACTAAACCTAAACTATCTTTTCTATAAAAGCAGCTAACTGTAAATAGCGAAATATACATGTTTTTCATGCCTAAATAATTTTACTATTTAATTGTAAATGTTTTTTGAGTATCATAAGTTAGTTACTATTTTCAAAGTTCTCTAGAAAAGGTCAATTTTTTTTCTTTTCTTTTTCCTTTTTTTTTCTTTTTTTTCTTTTGGAGACAGAGTCTCGCTCTGTTGCCCAGGCTGGAGTGCAGTGGCAAGATCTCGGCTCACTGCAATCTCCGCCTCCTGAGTTCAAGGAGATTGCCTCAGCCTCCCAATTATCTGGGATTACAGGCACGTGCCACCATGCCCAGTTAATTTTTGTATTTTTAATAGAGATGGGGTTTCACCATGATGGCCAGGCTGGTCTCAAACTCCCAACCTCAGGCGATCTGCCCGCCTCAGCCTCCCAAAGTGCTGGGATTACAAGCATGTGCCACCTTGCCCGGCCATTTTTTTTTTCTATAATGTGATGTGTTTAAAAATACAAAGCCAAAAATACAATGTAAATTCTATCAACAGAACATCTATTTTAGTTTTTTTATCATGAGTATATTAAAATAAGGCTGAATATTCTATTTATCTCAGAAATTATCCATCCTCAGAAACTATATCTTCAATATTTAATAATGTGTCTTTTCTTCACTGTCTCTTCTTGCTGCTGCTAAACCTTGACTACCTTTTCCAAAAAGGCAAAAACTTTACAATCGTGTGGGACTGTTCTTTTTATCCTCATTTTTATGGATTAGCTAACTGAGAAAACAGGAATGAGAGGGCGTTCCCTGAGACTACAACAACTAAAAACTGTGAAAACTGACATTCAAACCCAGATTGTCCAATTTAATATTAAATATAATTTTAAACTATGGCCTCCAATAAAAGTGTTGTACTTATGAATGTCTTCTAGGTCTTTTCCTATATTATACCTACATCTAAATGGTGTTGCAGGCAAAATAGTATTCTTTAAAAATACTATCGCTGTATTTGAAATTTAGTGACAGATATGTATAACTCGGAAGTCTGAGTCACTATAAAAGGTGACAATAGTTTACACAGTGAAGGTGTGAACCTCTGAAAAGCTGTGGAATTTATGGAGGTTTATAGATATAGCTTGGATTCATCTATTCGTAGCATTTTAAAAATTAGTTCTATGAAATATATCACCTGTAAAGAGTATATAAAATATAGATATACAACTAAAATGGTATTAAGTATAGTATGCCCAATAATCTATACAGATTAAGAAATAAAGCATCGTAAATACCTTTGAGAAACTTGTATACTCTTTTCTATGAAATCTCCATTTTTCCCTATGCAGACTTTTTGTTATTCTAAACTTAATTTTTCTCTTGTGCTACTTTGTATATTTACCACTGTGTGTGTATCCCCAAGTAGTATTTTGTTTATGTTTTTATGGCACTTAGAGAAATGGAATAATACTGATCTTTATTCTCTTAGTTACTTCATTCATTGAGCATCATTTTTCTGATACTAAGACCTGTTAATGTATATTGCTGTACTTCATATCATATTGTAATATACCATAATTTACTTAATCATTCTCCTGCATCTGGACATTTAGGTTGCTTTCATTTTTTTTTGTAATTCCAAAAAATGGATTATGATTGTTCTTTAATGTCTCCTGGTGCACATTTGAAAATTGTCTCAATTATAATCTTGCAGTAAAATTGCTAGGTTTTAGGTATGCACATCTCCAACTTTGTTAGGTAGCAAAGTCATTGTGTTAATTTATCCTTACATTAGTAGTAGATAAGCATTCCTGTTGCTACAACATTCAATAAAAATGGAATTGGACATTTCACGTTTTCCTAATCCTGTGGAGTTTCACATTATCTTATTATCTTTGATTTTCTTGACTATTAAATATGTTAAATAACTTTCATATATTTACTAGTTATTAATGTTTTGTCTACTATGAAACATCTGCTTATGGCTTCTATTCTTTCCTGTTGGTTTCTTTATCCAATTCTTAACGATTTTTGTTCAGAAATTGTTTAAATGTTTTGGAAAATAAACCCTATCAGATGTATGAGTTGAAAATATCTTCTCACAATTATCTTATGGTATCCTTTTATGACAGAAATTCTTATTTTTTAATGATAATGTTGTTTCTATTTTCGTATTCTTGAAGAAGTAAAGACTTTTCAGCTTACATGTTGATCATAGTAGGGTATGAAATATATCCTCATATCCCACCAAGTGCTCCCGCTTTCTCTCAAAATTCATTTTTGTTCTCTCTGAAGTTGGGAATCAATAAATACACAAAGCAGCTGCCATAGTATTATATTTCTCATGAGCCATTTCTAATAAATCAATTCTCCATCTTCTTTCCACTAACCACTTACTTGTAAATGACTGTAAACTTTCTCCTTTCCTTCTTTGCTAAATAGTTTTATTTTAAAAGTTTTTATACAAATTGTATGTATTTAAGAATATGTGACATGTTGAGGTATTTATACATAGTGAACTAAGTGCTACAGTCAAGCTAATTTACATAGCTGTCTCTTCACAGGTGTGTGTGTGTGTGTGTGTGTGGTGTGAAGGCACTAAAGATCTACTCTAAGTATAAAAAGCACAAAATACAGTATTATCAACTATAGTCACCATGCTGTTCTTAGCCCTGTAGAGCTTATTCATACTACAAAACTTAAACTTTGACTCATATACCAACATCTTCCCATTTTCCTCACCCGTACTTCTACCCTAGCCCTTGGTAACCACTATGCTATGCTCTGTTTTTGTGAATTCTGCTGTTTTAGAATTCACATGTAAGTAACATCATGCAATATTTTTCTTTCTGTGTCTGATTTCTTTCACTTTTAAAAGAGAACGCTTGAACATTATTGGTGGGAATGTAAATTAGAACAGACATTCAGACATTATGGAATACACTATGGAGGTTCCTTGCTAAACGTCTTTAAAGAATAGTTTATCCTCAGTTCCCTAGCCAACACCATGTTTTTCTTCATTAAATCTTTGAAGTTTTGCTTCAGTTCCCAGCCTCTACCAAGCTTGTAAAAGTCACTAATTAAACTACTGCTTTTTTGGGAAATATATTAGCCTTTTCTTACACCCCCAACTTCAGTCACTATAGGTCTTTGTAAGGCATTTGATGCTGTGTAGCAATCATACCTTAAGGTTTCCATGGCAAGGAGTTTTTCTCCTTTATTCCTTCCTGTTCTTCCTCTATTTCTCTGGAACTGCCGTGTAACCATTTAGGGCCTTATTTCTTCTATTCAGATTTTATATATACAACCATGTGTCACTTCACAACAGGCGAACTTTCTGAAGAATGCATTATTAGGCAATTTTATCATTGTGTGAAAATCATAGAGTCTGCTTACACAAACTAAATGGTATAGCCAATTACACACCTAGGCGTATGATATAGCCTATTGCTCCTGGGCTGCAAACCCATACAGCATGCTACTCTACTGAATACTGTAGGCAATTGTAGTACAATTTATGTATTTGTTTATCTCAACATAAAAAAGCTACAAAAATAATATGGTGTTATGGGACCTATATAATTTATGTGGTTCATCATTGAATAAAACATCATTAGACAGCATATAACAATAGTAATTACGTGAGGATTAGTCTTTGCTCCTATTCTCCTCTCTTTCAACATTGTAATTTCTTTGGAAATATACTCATTTGGCGTTACATGTCAGTCTTTATAATTATAACATATAGAGAAGTTTTTGGCACATAGAAGCAATAAATAAATGTTAATTTAATAAATGAATAAATGGATATTGGATATCTCTATCTCTAATCCTGACTTCCTGCTTTAATTGAAAACAGATGCTTTTATCTGCTTGTTTGAATTTCTACACAGAAATCTCAAACTAATTAATCAATATACCATCCTCCCTAACCTCCTTTTTCTCATAACTTAGCTGTGGAAACCACAATTATGGTAATTACATTGAGTCAAATGAAAATCAGAACTCAGAATTTTACAGATGCACTGGTATTCAGGAGAGCTATCTGAAAGACAATTTTAAATTAGAACTAAAATAAATTCATTTAATTCTCCCCCCAAAAAAGCCTATCTCTTATTTTGCTGAGCTACAAGAAAGCAAAGGAACACGGTCAGCTTGAAAAGTTCTTGACATTGTTTGTTCAGAAATAAACATAGGATTATACAACTCTGACATACAAATGATTCCCACAAAATATTTATATAAATTTACAATTTAACCCTTTCATTATTTTAATGTGATAAACTGCCTTGCATAATTTCTCTAATAAAATAAAACAAGATGTTACTCTTTTCAACCTAGACAGGTTTTAGCCCTTTCACTTTGCTGTGTATTTTAATAAAATAATAAAGATGAAACACTTTCAAAATAACCATTTTAAAAATTATTTAGTGAATTCTCAATTATTCATTTTTCTAGTAGTCCTGAATCTAGAAAAGTCTAAGATAAGCATTTAATAAATATGACGTTAATACACATTAATGAAATTTTTCAATGCAATTGTTTTTTGCAGAAGTTATTATTCAAAAGCAACCTTCATAATTGATTGTAGAAGCATACTAGTGAGAACATTTTTATTTGGCCTTGACATTGTCTCAGACATCTTTCTAATGTTTTATCCTCATCTATCTATCTAAAAGTCAGGTCATAGGCATATCTCTCAGATCACACATGTTTCTAGATGAAAAGAAAATGTTATTGATATCTTGATCTATTAGTCCCGTATCATATGATAACATCCTAAATTTTTTTCTATCACTGGTCTTATCCTCCTTTGATTTTCCAATTTTGAGCATACTGTGCAGCACATGGTATATACTCAATAGGATTTCAATGACCTAAATTGAATATCCTAAACCAGACTTCTTTCTTTTCCTATATGTCTATTAAGTAAAATGCCTGTTTCCAATTTTATGGAACACTCCTCTCCTCCAATAATTCAGATATGATTGGTAAATGTAAATCATGTACCACTTTATTTTTACTTTTAGAGAATGTTTATATGTTGGCTTAATTTCACATTTACAGAAAGTTACAAGAATACTATCAATAATAATATGATGAAGTATATACTCAGAATCCTCCATTGTTAACATATTATCATATATGCTTTGTTAGTCCCTATCTCTCTCTGTTTATATTTTTTTCTGAATTATTTGAGGTTAAGTTGTAAATATGATGCTCCTAATATACCAAAGTGTTTTTCTGAAAAACCAATATGTTTTCCTGCACAATGATCAATACCAGAAAATGAAGAATGATACAATAGTATCTGATGTATAAACTTTATTAAGTTTCTGCAATTGTACAATTATCTTTATACTGAACCAATACCCTGACTAATATATTGAATTTAATTTTCATGTCCCTTTATTTTCCTTTCATATGTAACACTTAATTCAGTCTTATTTTGTTTTTCATTATGCTTCTTTTTTTGAGTAGTATAATCCAGGTATTTTTAGTAGGTCCATTAATTTGGATTTGTGTGAAGTTCTTCATAAATGGATTCAGATCATATATCTTTGGCAGGAATATCATGGAAGTCATGTTTTTCTCCTTGCATCCTGCCACGTAACACATGGTTTCAATTTGACCCACTGCCAGTGAAGTTAATTTTGATCACTTGATAAATGTGGCTCTACAGCCTCCTCCAATGAAAAATTACAATTTGTTTCTTTTGATTAATTGATTATTTCATGGAAAGTTACTTTGATATTAGGCAAAATCCTGATACTCAAATATTACACCAGTAATTGTCCTTTGATGATTCTTATATAAATCAAGTATTATCGTGATAGTTGTCAAATAGTGGTTTGCTAATGCGATCATTTCTTCTACATTTAATTATTGGCTTTATACTTTAAATATGAGATTCCTCACATTTATGTGTATTATTTAATAATATTGGTATGGACACAATGATTTTTTATTCAGTGGGTTATAATCCATTACCTTTATTATCATTATTTATATCGATATTTAATTTCTCCTAAATTTGGCCACAGGGAATCCCATTAAGCTGGTTTTTTGGCATACCAAAATATTATATTACGTTTGTGTATATTTATGTGTTTTATAAATATATGTGTATACATATTTTTTTTTTATTTTTATTTTTTTTTGAGATGCAGTTTCTCACTGTCACCCAGACTGGAGTGCAGTGGTGATCTCTGCTCACTGTAACTTCTGCCTCCCAGGTTCCAGTGATTCTACAGCCTCAGCCTCCTGAGTAGCCTGGGATTACAGGCGCCCGCCACCATGCCTAGCTAATTTTTTGAATTTTTAGTAGAGACAGGGCTTCACTATGTTGGCCAGGCTGATCTCGAACTCCTGACTTCATGATCTGCCCACCTCGGCCTCCCAAAGTACTGGGATTACAGGCTTGAGCCACCATGCCCAGCCTATTTATAATATATTTTATGCATATATTAATGTATACATGTTTATAAACATATATTTGTAATATGCATATAAACGTATATTATAAAATAGTTGTGTGTGTGTATATATAATTTTACATTTCTTTATATCCTTGCCTTACAACATTATTGAATGTTCATTCCTAGCCCCAGCTCTGAAGTAAACTATATTTATTCAAGGTACCCTGGTTCCTTTTAGTTCAAAATAATATTTAGAAACAAAGACCTGTATGCTAGAAGAATTTTATGTCTCTAGGAAATGTGTGTGTGTGTGTGTGTGTGTGTGTGTGTGTGTGAGTGTGGTATGTATGTGTGTTTATATATATTTCTGTGTATATTTCTTTCTTTTTTTTTTTTTTTTTTGAGATTGAGTCTTGCACTGTCACCCGGGCTGGAGTGCAGTGGCAATCTTGGCTCACTGCAATTTCCACCTCTCCGATTTAAGTGATTCTCCTGCCTCAGCCTCCTGGGTAGCTGGGATTACAGGCGTCTACCACCATGCCTGGCTAATTTTTTGTATTTTTAGTAAAGACAGGATTTCACTATGTTGACCAGGCTGGTCTTGAACTCCTGACCTCGTGATCCACCCACCTCTGCCTCCCAAAGTGCTTGGATTACAGGTGTGAGCCACCGCACCCGGCTATATCTGTATGTATTTCTATACTTACAGAAATATATATTTAAAATATAAGTTCATATTAATTACTCCAATTCAAATGCAATAACAAGCCTGGGAGGGTAGAGGGGAGGGGAGAGAAAGAGGAAAAACAAGAATATAAATATTTTTCATAATGCTGAACTGTACATCTGAAAATGGTAAAGATGGTAAATTTTATATATATGTCAATATAAAAGTAAAAAAAAAGCAAATGCAGTAACAATGCAATCTATGCTTCCCTTTTTCTATATAATAACTCCTCTTTTCTGACATTGAGAAACTTGTTCCCATGATTCACAATGTATTTACTTCCTCAATTCAAGAATATTAATAAAGTAGCCTCAGAGTACTAAAACATATGTGATGCCTGTGTGGATGTGTGATTCAGCAAGAGTTTCAGCTGCTGCACTTTAAAATCAAGTGTTATATTTGAACCAGGTCACACTTTCATTAGCTGTTTCCAGTCAATGGAACAGCTCATGAAACAGCTCATGAGATGAGCATTGCAGACTGAGCATTGCAGTGATACTAAGACAGAACTGTTCTTGGGAGAAAACGGACTCCTTTCTAACTTTGTTTCTAGCACTTCCCAATATCATTGCCAAATCTTTCTTAGACCACAAAGCTGTCTAAGATGCTTGCGATGAGCTTTCTCTTTATTTATCCTTCAATAATGGTCAGGAAACAGTAAAGTGGAAAATATAGCGATAGAAATAATGAAAAATAAAACAGAAAAACATAAGATGTAAAAGAGCACCATTGAACTGTTGAACAACTAAAGGGGCCTAATATAAATGTAACTGGAGTTGCCAAAGGAGAAGACTAATACAAGGAGACAAAATGTATGAAGAAATAATATTAAGTTAAAAATTTGATGAACAATTATATACACCTATCCAGTAATCTCAACAAAATACAAGTTCAAAAACATGAAGAATAACTAAAAAGGCACATTATCATCAAATTGCATAAAACATTTAAGAATTTTTGAAAGTTAACAGCAGACAGAGAAAAAGTTCACCCTATACACAAAGAAACAAGAATTACCTGAGCTTTCACATTGCAAACAATGTAAGCTAGAAGACAGTTGAGCAGTATCTTTAAAATACTGAAGGAAATTATCAACCTGAAATTTTATACCCAGTGAAAATAGCTTTTATTATGAAGAGGAAATACAGATATTTTCAAATACAAAAAGCTGAAAATATTTATGACCAGTATAACTGAAGTAAAAGAAATGTTCAATGAAATCATTCACGCAAAAGAAAACTGATAAAAGATGGAATTCTGGACTTAGAGAAAGAATTGAAGAGCAACAGAAATATTGACTACATGGGTAAATATATGACTTTTAAATATTAGGTTGGTGCAAAAGTAATTGCTATTTTTGCCATTACTTTTAATAGCAAAAACTGCAATTACTTTTGCATCCACCAAATATTTAATCACTTTAAAATAATAGTTTCAATAAAAACAATAACAATATATTAAAGCATTCATAGCATGTATTTTACTTAAAGGTATGAGAATAATACCATAAAAACAAAGGGGGAAGAAATGGGAAGAATCAGTAACATTTCTGTACAGCAATAATGAACTAGGTGAAAAAGAAATCAAAGCAATTCCATTTACAATAACCACAAAAAGTATAAATTACATAGAAATAAAAGAAGACAAAAGACTTCTACAAGAAAAACTACAAAATACTGATGAAAGAAATTGAAACAATGAAATGATAAGGCATCTCATGCTCATGGATTGAGAATTAATATTGTTACAATGTCCAAACTACTCACAGAAATCTATAGATTCAATGCAATCCTTATCAAAAAATCAGTGACAATCTGCACAGAAATAATTCTCAAATTCATATGGAACCATAAAAGATCCAGAATAACCAATACAATCCTGAACACAAATAAGAAAGCCAGAGACATCAGATATCTGCCTTTAAAATATACTTCAATGCTCTATGAAGCAAAACAGCATGGTATTGGTATAAAAACAGATACACAGACAAATGAAACAGAACACAGACTCCAGAAATAAATCCATATATCTATAGCCTCTGATTTGGGACAAAGGTGCCAATAACATACAATGGAGAAAGGACACTGTGCTTAGTACATGATCCTTGGAAAGCTGAATGTCCATGTGCAGAATTATAAAACAAGATCCCTATCTCTCACCATGTACAAAATCAACTAAAAATTGATGGAAGACATAAATGTAAGACCCAAAACTTTAAAACTACTAGGAGAAAACATGGGAGAAATGTTTTAGGACATTGGTCTAGGTAAAGATTTCATGGCTGAGCCTTCAAATGCACAGGCAACAAAAGTAAAACAGACAAATGGGAATATATAAAACTAAAAAGCACTGGATCTGGCAAAATGGCCGAATAGGAACAGCTCTGGTCTGTAGCTCCTAGAGAGACCAAGGCAGAAGGCAGGTGATTTCTGCATTTCCAACTGAGGTACCCTGTTCATCTCATTGGGACTGGTTAGGCAGTGGATGCAGCCCACAGAAAGAGAGCAGAAGCAGAGTGGGGCGCCTCACCCGGGGAAGTACAAGGAGCAGGAGGCCTCCCTTTCCTAGCCAAGGGAAGCCATGAGGGACTGTGCTATCCAGCCCAGATACTATGCTTTTGCCACGTTTTTTGCAATCTGCAGACCCAGAGATTCCCTCATGTGCCCACACCACCAGGGCCCTGGGTATCAAGCACAAAACTGGGTGGATGTTCAGGTAGACACTGAGCTAGCTGCAGGAGTTTTTTTTTTTTTTTCAATACCCCAGAGGCACCTGGAACCCCAGCAAGACAGAACCATTCACTCCCCTGGAAAGGAGGATGAAGCCAGGGAGCCAGGTGGTCTCGCTCAGCAGGTCCCACTCCCATGGAGCCCAGCAAGCTAAGAACCACTGGCTTGAAATTCTCTTTGCCAGCACAGCAGTCTGAAGTCCACCTGGGATGACTGAGCTTGGTGGGGGGAGGGGCGTCATCCATTACTGAGGCTTGAGTAGGCAGTTTTCCCCTGACAGTAATAAGGACTGGGCGGAACTCAACACAGCAAGGCAAAGTGGCTGTGGCCAGACTGCCTCTCTAGATTCCTCTTCACTGGGCAGGGCATCTCTGAAAGAAAGGCAGCAGCCCCAGTATTAAACTCCCATCTCCCTGGGACAGAGCACCTGGGGGAAAGGGTGGCTGTGGGCGCAGCTTCAGCAGACTTAAACATTCCTGCCCACTGGCTTGAAGAGAGCAGTGGATCCTGACAAGGAGGGTTCTCCCAGCACAGTGCTGGAGCTCTCCTAAGGGACAGACTGCCTCCTCAGGTGGGTCCCTGACCCCCATGCCTCCTAACTGGGAGAAAACTCCCAACAGGAGTTGACAGACACCTCATACAGGAGAGCTCCAGCTGGCATCTGGCGGGCTCCCCTCTGGGATAAAGCCTCCAGAGGAAAGATCAGGCAGCAGCCTTTGCTGTTCTGCAGCCTCCTCTGGTGAAACCCAGGCAAACAGGGTCTGGAGTTGACCTCCAGCAAACTCCAGCAGACTTGCAGAAGAGGGGCTTGTTAGAAAAAAACTTACAAATGGAAAGCAATAACATCAACATCAACAACAAAAGGACCCCCACACACAGAAACTCCATCCAAAGGTCATCAGCCTCAAAGATCAAAGGTAGATAAATCCACGAAGCTGAGGAAAAAACAGCGCACAAAGTCTGAAATTTACAAAAACCAGAATGCCTCTTCTCCTCCAAACAATTGCAGCTCCTTTCCAGCAAGGGCAAAAAACTGGACAGAGAATGAGTTTGACGAATTGACAGAAGTAGGCTTCTGAAAGTGGGTAATAACAAACTCCTCTGAGCTAAAGGGGCATGTTCTAACCCAATGCAAGTAAACTAAGAACCTTGACAAAAGGTTACAGGAACTGCTAACTAGAATAAACAGTCTAGAGAACATAAATGACCTGATGGAGCTGAAAAGCACAGCACGACAACTTTGTGAAGCATACACAAGTATCGATAGCTGGATGAAGCAGAAGAAAGGATATCAGATAAAAACATAAAATGTTTTATCTCAATCATTTTTAAAGTTTTTTTGAAAAATTTAATAAAAAATATGCCTCCAATCTTAATGGAATTAAATTAGAAATCAATAACAAAAAGATAATTGGAAGATCCATAGGTATTTTTAAATTAAATAACATATCTAAATGATCCTAAGTCAAAGACAAAACCAAAGGAAAATTACAGAATATTTTGAACTGGATTACTAAGAAAGTGTAACATATTAAATTTTGTGAAAGGCTGCAAAACAGTATTAGGGTGAAATTTATTGCATTAAATAGCTTTATTAAAAAAAATGAGTTGTCTTGAGTCAATGACTTCAGCTCTACCTTAAAAAGGCAGTAAAAGAAGAGGTAATTAAAACCAAGTAAGTAGAAGAAAGGAACTAATAACAATGAGAGAGGAAAATAACATAATTTAAAAAAAAACAGGAAAACAAAGGAGAAAAACCATAGAAACCAAAGTCTTGCTATTTGAGAACAATAAAATTGACAAATATCTGCCATGTTAGAACAAAAAGACAAAAATACATATTATCATTTTAGAAATAGAAGAAATGATGTTACTACATATTCTACAGCTATTAAATGGTCAATCCAAAAACATGATGCTCCTGAATTTAATCATATATGGAATTAATATATTTCTTAAAACATAGACTTTAAAAGCTCACTGTGGAAAGCCTGTACAAACAATGCTGAGAAACTACAAAACAGTGTGGAGAAAAATTAAAGATTACCTAAGTAAGTGAAGAGGTATACCTTGTTCATGGATTAGAAGACTCAATATTGTTGAGATATTAATTATTCCCAAATTAATCTGTTGACTCAATGCATTGCCAATCAAAATCCAAGCACAATTACTGGTAGAATTTGACAAACTGGTAGTCCACATGGAAATGGGAAGGTCTGAGAGCAGCCAAAAACAATTTCGATAAAGACAAGCAAAGTTAGTGGAATAGTAGTTATCAAGACAGTGTTGTATTGTCATAAAGATAGACAAATTGAGTAACAGAATATAAAAAATAATCCAGATGAAATACTCACATATTTATAAACAACTTCTTATTGACAAGGGTACAAAGGCAATTCAGTTGAAAAGGATAATCTTTTCAACAATTTTTGCTTAAACAATTTGATATCCATATCAAAAAATGAATAAACACATTCTTGTTCATATCTCTCACATCACACTAAAATTAACCCAAAATATAAAAAAGACATAAGTTTAAATCATATAAAACTATGACATTTCTATAGGAAGGCACAGGAGAAAATCTTTGTTAAGATTAGTTAGGCAAGGCCAAGTGCAGTGGCTCATGCCTATAATCCCAGCACTATGGGAGGCCGAGGCAGGTGGATTACCTGAGGTTAGGAGTTCAAGACCAGCCTGACCAATATGGTGAAACCCCGACTCTACTAAAAATACAACAATTAGCCAAGTGTGGTGGGGAGCACCTGTTTTCCCAGCTACTTGGGAGGCTGAGACAGGAGAATTGCTTGAACCAGGGAGGCGAAGGTTGCAGTGAGCTGAGGTCGTGCCACTGCATTCCAGCCTGGGCGACAGAGTGAGACTCTGTCTCAAAAAAAAAAAAAAAAAAAAAAAAAAATTAGTTAGGCAAAGATTTCTTAGCTATTACACCAGAGCATAATTCACAAAAAAAGCAAATTGATAAATTTGGCTTCCTCAAAATTGAAAAGGTTTGTTCTTCAAAAAAAACAAAAACAAAAAAAACACTATTAAGAGAATGAAATGACAAGCCACAGATAGGTAAAAATATTTGAAAATTATATATGTGATAAAGGACTATGTCCAGAATATAAAAATAACCCTCAAACTTAGTAATAAGAAATCAAACAACAGAATTTTATAAATAAAGTATCTGAAGACACTTCATCAAAGGAAATATTCAAACAACCACATGAAACCATGCCAATGTCATTAGTCATTAGAAATATGAAAATTAAGGCAACCATGAAATACCATTACACATGCATCAGAATGGCTAGAATTAAGAAGCAAACCATAATAGTTTTTGGCAAGATAGAGAAACTGGAACTCTTATACACCCTTCTGGGAACATAAAATATTACAACCAGTTTGGAAACCAGTTTGGCAGTTTCTTAAAATGTAAAACATACATTTACGGTACAGTCTAATCATTCTCCTCATAGGTATTTACCTACATGAAATAAAAGTATACATCTGAGCTGGGCTTGGTGGCTCACACCTATAATCCCAGCTACTCAGGGAACTGAATGGGAGGATTACTTGAGGGCAGGAGTTCAAGACCAAACTGGATAGCATAGCAAGACCCTCTCTCTAAAAAACATTTTTTTTAAAAAAACTAGCTGGTCATGGTGGTGCAGAATTAGCCAGGCATGTGACTCTATTCCCAACTATGCAGAAGACCAAGCAGGAAGATCACTTGAGCCCAGCAGTTCAAGGTTGCATTGAGTTATGATCATGCCACTGCACTCAAGCGTAAGTGACAGAGTGAGACCCCGTCTCTAAATAACAACAACAAAATCTATATCTATACAAAGAGCTAAGCACAAATGTTCATAACAGTTTGGTGTAATAGCCAAGACAAAATCTAACTGCAAATTAGGCAACTTCTACTGTTCTCTTATCTGTTTTCCATGTACAAACACAACCATTCCATTTTGCCATTCAACTTAGTACCCCTTCACCTTCCTCCTCCATTGTTTTCTGCATCCCAAATAGATATCATTAGTTTGTGAAAACCAAATGGAGAAATTGTCTAATGCTCTTAAATATTTTTAACAAAAATTAGTCTTTAAGTTTCTTTTTATTTTTCATATTAGTTGTTAAGTTTTCCCATCATTTTTTGTGTGGTATAATCACACATCATAATGTTAAAGGGCATCACTTATTTTAAGGGTAAATGTAAAAATGGAATGTATCTGTAACTGATAATATAATTTTGAAATAACAGCATGAATCTTACCATATATGCAATGTCTGCACTCAACACTCAAGTGAATTAAAAGAAAGTGAAAAAGTAAAGGTCTATTTTAATAGCTTTGGCTTCTCGTGACAATTTTGTGTTTTGTTTTACCCAATATCATACATATATCAAGTAAGATGTCCACACTTCTAGGTTCAGGTAGTATTTTAAGACTCCTAACATGTCTTGATTTGATGTCTGCTGATTATTAGTCTTAGGATTGTTGTTGTAGAAAAGAGGAATCTGAAAAGAAGGGATTGGGTAAAGAACAAAGTGTAATGTTGTGTATTTCTATACTCAAATATGTTTTCAGTTATATGTATGTGTGCATTTATTTTAAGGCAGAGATAAAATATCTTAAAATACAGCTATAGGAAATTATTAACATGAATTTACAGTTAGTTAATACTGGACACTGTTGGTAAGTCCATAAAAATTAAATTTGTAATTTTTCCTTCCTCTTTATTCTATTTCTGTTACACACACAGGCACACACACACACACACACACACACTCTCCCCCTAAATATTTTTAGTTGATTTGATGTCTTTGATCACAAACTCTGATAACAAACTCTGGAAATCTACATCTGCTTTCTTTCTGAATTAAAACAAAATCTTGATTGATCCAAGCAGCTGACTAGGTTCATTACAGTTTCAGATACAACATAAATTCTACCAAAGTATTTTGTGTTACTTGGAATACTACCACTGATCATTGCAAAATCACAACTTAGACATGATTCCAGAGTGATAGAACAGCTATGACGATACTGATTTAATGTAATTTCAAAGCCAACTATCAAAGGCTTTTCCCATTTCACATGTTTAATATTTCTAGGGAACCTATCAAACAGAAAACCAGGCTTATTAATTACCATATTTTGCTGAGTGTTTTATGTGTTCAAGGCATCATATGAAATGAGGTCCATTATCATAAAAATGCACTGATTTAATTTGTAATAATATTTCCTTCTAAAATTATAATACCCAAAGTTGTCTTTTTTATAGTTATTATTTTTACATTTGTCTTGGGATGTATGAAAGACAAAAGAGGTTCAGATGCTCCTCAACTTATGATGGGGGTACATCCTGAGAAGCCCATTTTAAGTTGAAAATATAGTAAATTGCAAAAGCATTTATTATACCTAACTTACCAAACATGATTAGCCTACCTTAAACATGCTTACAACACTTACATTAACATTCACTTTGACAAAAATCACCTAACAAAAAGCATATTTTATAATAAAGTGTTGAGTATCTCATGTAATTTATTCAATACTGTACTGAAAGTAAAAAATAGAATGTTTTCATGAGTCTCACTATTAACCTACACAGCTAAAAGCACACTGGGCCTAAAGAATGTTTAAAGCATTGAACTAAAATTATTTGCTGGATTATGGCGATGCAACAGCAACAGGGTCATCAATTTCTCTCTCTTCTATGAATTTTGAGAACAGCTAGTAGAACGTTCTTGGGTATTGATACTTGTTGATGGTTTAACTGGTATTGCATAGCTGACTAGGAGCTGCAGCTTGGTGCAGCTTCCCATAACAAGAAGAGAGTTGGCTTGTCGTTTTCACACCATTTTAAAGTAAAAAAAACCATAAGTCAGAGGCCAACTGTATAGAGAAAATTTCTCCTCCTTATTCATTGATAGTTTAATAGTATTGATTGCTACTTATTGATCATTAGCTACATTAACTGTATCCACTACAGAAGCATGTAGTGGAAGTCAGAGTTCTGTTAAGTAAAATGAAAATTAAAATAAAGCATATACTTTATACATAAGTCATCTTAATTTTAAATGACTTAAATAAAACTAGCTTAAGTAACTTTATATCTTTCCAATATGGAATATGGATCATTTCTCCCAATTCTCTTTTCCTGGTATTTAATGAACATGTGCTGAGTTCATATTAGTCACAAAATACCATAGTAGATATTTGGGAAGACTTGAATATGTATTTCTAACAATGTTGTTTTTTTTTTTTTGGTTGTGTCTTTAGCAAGCTCCACTTTGCTTTATCATTAGTTAACATGCATTATCATTGACAGATTTCTAAAGATGCCTATATTGCCTAAAGATTATTGGTATATTAGGATTCTTATGGCTAGTGCCAGAAACGCAAGAAAAATGAGTCACAAAAAGGAGGACTTTATTCACTCATTTAACCTAACAAATGGTCTGGTAGCCATAGCTGAGCCTCAGGAAAGTTGGGACACCATGTATGAATCCTCCCATAGATCCACAGATAAAGAAATTATGGCATACACACACACACACACACACACACACACACACACATACACACACACACAAATAAAACATTGAGACTTAATAAAAAATGAGATTCTGTCATTTGCAGCAACATGGATGGAGCTAGAGAACATTACAGTATGTGAAATCAGCCACCCACAGAAAGAAAAATGCTTCATGATCTTATTTATATGTAGAGCATTTTAAAAAGTTGACTACATAGAAACAGAGTAAAACAGTGATTACCAGAGTGGTGGCAGGGAAAGGTGTCCTGAGATATTGATCAAAGGGTACAAAGTTGCATTTATGTGGGATGGATAAGTTTAGATATCAAATGTACAACATGAAGGCTATATTTAATATTGTATTGTATACTGGTTATTTGCCAAGAAAGTGAGTTTTAGGTAATCTTACTACAAAATAAAAAGAAATGTGATGATGATTATGCTAATTTGCCTGACTGTAGTAATCACTTCACCATGTATATGTATCTATTGTACATTTCAAAATAGCAAGAAGAGAATAACTTGAATATTTAGCATAAAGAAAAGACAAATATTTAAGATAATGGACACCCCCTTTACCCAGATTTGATCTACAACTTATGTGAATGTATTAAATTACCATATTTAGCCCAAAACTGTGTACATCTATTATATATAAATTTTAAAACGTTTAGGAATTTTTGGAGGGTCATGACAGACGGGAGGCAGGACTAGGTTGCAGCTCTGACTTGAACAGACAGAGGAGAGTTTTGAGGCCCACATCTTGAATTTTTGCTCCAGAATGACAGCAGGGATAAATCAGGAGACCTGAGAGGGCCCACAGACCCCCTGAAGGAAGCAGATTGCTCCTGCAGGACCCAGGAGACACCCCACATACTGTGAGTGCCCAAACTGTGGAAGTGGGAAGTTCATCCACCCCCGGACACACCACCCCCCGCCCAATGGGGAAACTGAAGATCTAGATCAAGAGGAGATATTGATGTTACCTGAAGCTGAGTCAACTTGGAGAACTGAGGGAAATACGGGAGTAGGGGAAGCAGTGGTAAAAGCCTTGGGAGCTCACTGTGTCCCCTAGCAACCCATTTCTGCCTAGCCTCACAGGGGTCCTCCAGGAGGGTGGCCAGCGGCACTGGGAAAAGGCCACAGGGAAAAGGAAATCTTCAGCTGAACTATGTTACAATTTGAACTGATCAAGAAGCCTCCTGACCAGAACTTGGGGGAGGGCGTGAAGCTGGTGTGCAGACTCCACCGGTGGGGGTAGAAGAAAAGCCATATTTGCTTTCCCAGCTGGGAGGCAGGTAGCCTGGGGCAAGTTCTCAGCCCTGCTTGCCCACTGCCTGGAAACAGAATTGGTGCTGTTAGGGGTGGGACACAGTGGGAGTGAGACTGGCCCTTCAGATTGGGTGGGAGCTGGATATAAAGCTGTGACCACCAGCTTTCCCCCATTTCCCTGACAACCTGCATGACACAGTAAAGTTCGTCATAATCCTTCCAGGAATATAACTCCATTGACCTGGGAATCTCACGCTTATCTCCCACAGCAGCTGCAGCAAGACCTGCCCAAGGAGAGTCTGAGTTCAGACACTTCTAGTCCTGCCCCCACCTAATGGGCCTTCACTACCCACCCTGGTAACTGAAAACAAAGGGCATATACTCAAGAGTTTTAGGGCCCCACCCACTGTCTATTCCTCCCCATACTACCACAGCTGATGCTCTCTGGAAAGCACAACCTCATGGCAGGAGGCCAACAAGCACAAAAATAGTGCATTAAACCACCAAAGCTAAGAACCCTCACAGAGTCCATTTCACCTCCCTGCCACTTCCACTAAAACAGGTGCTGGTATTCATGACTGAGAGATCCACAGAAGGTTCACATCATATAACCCTGTGCAGACAACCCTCAGTACCAGCCCGGAGCCTAGTAGACTTGCTTGGTGGCTAAATCCAGAGGAGAGATAACGATCACTTCAGCTCAGCTCACAGGAAGCCACATCCATAGGAAAAGTGGGAGAGTACTGCATCAAGGGAACTCCAAGTGAGACAAAAGAATCTGAACAATAGCCTTCAGCCCTAGACCTTCCCTCTGACAGAGCCTACACAAATGAGAAGAAACAAGAAAACCAACTCTGGTAATATGACAAAATAAGTTCTTTAACACGCCCAATAAATCACACTAGCTCACCAGCAATGAACCCAAACCAACAAGAAATCACTGATTTACCTGACAGAGAATTCAGGAGGTTAGTTACTAAGCTAACCAGAGAGGCACCAGAGAAAGGCGAAGCCCAGTGTAAAGAAATCAAAACAAGGATACAATAAGTGAAGGGAGAAATATTCAAAAAAATAGCACAAATAAAAAACAATCAAAACTTTAGGGGAAAATGGAGACACTTAGAGAAATGCAAAATGCTTTGGAAGGTCTCAGCAATATAATTCATCAAGTAGAAGAAAGAACTTCGGAGCTCAAAGACAAGGTCTTTGAATTATTCCAACAATGACAAATAAAAAAGAATAAGAAAATAAGAACAAAGCCTCCAGAAAGTGTGGGATTATGTTAAACGACCAAACCTAAGAATAATCAGTGTTCCTGAAGAAATAGAGAACTCTAGAAGTTTGGAAAACATATTTGGGGGAATATATGAGTAGTATTCCATCATATAAATATACCACATTTTGGGGGGAATATATATTTGTTGACTGTTCCTTTCACCATGAAAAAGCTTGTGAGTTTAATTAAATACACAAATGACTAATAAACATATGAAAAAATGCTCAGCATCACCAATGATCAGAGAAATGCAAATCAAAACCACAATGTGATACTGCCTTACTTCCACAAGAATGGCCATAAACAAACAAATAAATAATAGATGTTGGCATGGATGCAGTGAAAAGGGAACACTTCAACACTGCTGGTGGGAATGTAAACTAGTACAATCACTATGGAAAACAGTGTGGAAATTCCTTAAGTAACTAAAAGTAGAACTACCATTCGATCCAGCAATCCCACTACTGGGTATCTACCCAGAGGAAAAGAAGTCATTTTCCTAAAAAGATACTTGCACACGCATGTTCATAGCAGCACAATTTGCAATTGCAAAAATGTGGAACCAACCTAAATGCCCACCAATCAATGACTGGATAATGAAAATGTGGTATATTTATATGATGGAATACTAGTCAGCCATAAAAAAATGAACTAGTGGCATTTGCAGCAACTTGGGTGGGATTGGAGACTATTATTCTAAGTGAAGTAACTGAGGAATGGAAAACCAAACATCGTATTTTCTCACTCTTAAGTGGGAGCTAAGCCATGAGGAGGAAAAGGCATTAAGAATGACACAATGGACTTTGGAGATTCAGGGGTAAAGGTTGGGAAGGGGGTGAGGGATAAAAGACTACAAATAGTGTGAAGTATGCTGCTGGGGTGATAGGTGCACCAAAATCTCACAAATTGCCACTAAAGAACATATTCATGAAACCAAACAACACCTGTTCCCCAATAACCTGTGGAGATTTAAAAAAAAAGTTTAAAAATACATCATTGTATACCTTAAATGCATGCATTAAAATTAGTACAACTGTAAACAAACTAAAAAGGAAGACTTGAGAGATATATCATGATTATGCATTCTTAAGACTCCATGATTAGAAGAATTAAATTATTCTCAAATGAAATGTTTGTAGATAATGCAAAACTAGTTCTAAAATTAATATAAAATGTAATGAGTACAAATAGACAAAAAGAAATTAGATAAAGACCAAATTTGGAACATTTTTATATATTTTTTTGCCATCTGTATATTTGTAATGAGGTGTCCGTTAAGCTTTTTGGTCCAGTTTTTAATTAAGTTGTTTGTATTCTTATTGCAGAGTTTTAGAGTTATTTTTATATTTTAGATGACAATTCTTTATTAGATTTGGCTTTTGCAATTTTTTTTAAGTCTGTGGCTTGTCTTTTCATTATTTTGACAGTGTCTTTCCTTGAGCAGAATTTTGAAAATTTTAGTGAAGTCTAGCTTATCAATTCTTTATTTAATGGGGCAGGCGAGGTGGCTCACGCCTGTAATCTCAGCGCTTTAGGAGGGCTAGGCAGGCAGATCCCCTGAATTTAGGAGTTTAAGAGCAGCCCGGCCAACGTGGTGAAACCTCATCTCTACTAAAATGAGCTGGGCGGGTGACGCATGCCTGTAATCCCAGCCACTCAGGAAGCCGAGGAGGGAGAATCGTTTGAACCCAGGAGGCTGAGGTTTCAGTGAGCTGAGATCAGGCCACTGCACTCCAGCCTGGGTAACAGAGTGAGACTCTGTCTCAAATATATATATATATATATTTCTTTAATGGATTGTGCCTTTGGTGTATCTAAATGTCATTGCCAAACCCAAGGTCATCTTGATTTTCTTTTATGTTATCTTCTAGAAGTTTTATAGTTTTGTGTTGTACATTTAGGTCTGTGATCCATTGTAATAAATTTTTTGAAGCATGTAAAGTCTGTGTCCAGATTCTTTTTTTTCCATATTAATGTCTAGTTGTTCCAGAACCATTGTTTCAAAAGGCTATCTTTTCTTCATTGTATTGTCCTTGCTACTTTGTCAAAGATCGGTTGACTTTGACAACTGATCTTTATCTTTGACAACTGATCAAAGTCAACTGATCTTTATCAAAGTGAGTCTATTTATTAACTCTACTCTGTTCCATTGATCTATTTATTCTTTCACTAATACCACATTTTCTTGATCACAACAGCTTAATAGTAATTCTTAAAGTCAGGTAGTGTCAGTCCTCAAATTTTGTTCTTCTCCTTCAGTATCGTGTTGGCTATTCTGGATCTTTTGCCTCTTGGTATAAACTTTAAAATCAATTTATCAATATCCAAAAACTAGATTGCTGGGATTTTGTTTGGGATTGCACTGAATCTATTAATCAACTTGGAAATAACTGACATCATGATAATGTTGTCTTCCAGTATGACATTCTGGAGACAGAATTATGGAAACAGTAAAAAAAAAATCAGTGATTGTCAGTGGTTAGCAAGGAAAGGAAGATAAACAAACAGAGTGCAGAAGATTATTAGGGCACTAAAACTGCTCTGTATGATACTACCATGGTGGTTGTGTTTCATTATACGTTTGTTCAATAGAATGTACAACACCAACAGTGAAAGCTGATGTAAACTATGACTTTGGGTGATGATAATGTGTCAACGTAGGCTCATCAATTGTAGCAAATGTATCACCCTGATGGGGTGTGCTGATAATGGTGGAGGCTCTGCCTGTGTGGGGGCTATGGACATATATGGGAATGCTGTATGCCTTCGGCTAAATTTGTTAAATTTTGCTTTGATCCTAAAACTGCTCTAAAAAAATAAAATTTATTTTTTCAAAAAAAGAATAGATCGGGAATACTTAATTGTTATCAAAGTGGTAAAATTTAAAGAATGAGCAATACCAAGTGTTGGCAAGGAAGTGTAGTAACCAGACTCAAAAATGTTGGTGGTAAAAAGGTACAACCACTGTGGAAAAAGATGTGCCCGTATGTAATAAAGCTAAATAGCACATACTCTAGATCAGAAATTTTAGCTACAGATAATTAAGCCTAATAAAAACGTATGTCCACAAAAATGCATGTACAGTAAGTTTTTACAACAGCCCAAAACTGGAAACAGGTAATGAGTCATTAATACAAGAATGTATAAAGATGCCGTGGTATATCCGTACAATAGAATGGTATTTGGTAATAAAAAGGAATAAACTACTGATATATACAACATGGATAAATATCAAAAACATGCTGAACAAATATGCCCTGTACGTCTATATTATACGGTTACACTCATTTAAATTTTTTGAACTAGTGGAATGTGTCTAAAGTGAAAACAATATTTTTTAAGTGTTAGCCTTTTGGTGATAGGGGCAGAGTTTGAGAGCCTGGGAGAACTGTTTGGGTGCTACTAATGTCCCAGATATTAGTACAGGTTTGAGTTACTGCATAAATATGTTAAAACCAAGAAGGTACACTTTATTTATGCATTTTGCTTTACATAAAATTTACCCTAGAAGAAAAATGAGAAGAGCAAGTATACATTAAACTGTGCTTAATGATATATATGCTAAAATATTTATGGTGACATTTACTAATATTTCTAGCTAACTGTGAAATTCATAAAAATAAAATGGATTGAGAAATAAAAATAGACAAAAAGTGACAAACCAATTATAGTAAAATGGTAATAGTAGAATAATCAGTGGTTGCATGGGGACTCATTGTAAAATTTCTGCTTTTCTATATGTTTGATAACTTCCATAATACTAGAAAAATCAAATTTAAAGAAAACAAAACTCGTGAAAGAATATTTATAGCAACTTTATTCTAATAGTCCCAAATTAGAAACCCCCCAGGAATTCATAAACATATGAATACTAAACAATCTGTGATATTTTTCAAAACATATGAATTAATACTAGAAGCAACCACATAGATGAATCTCAAAAACATTACAGCGTAAAAAGGAACCTGGATACAAAAATGTTTACTGCATGATTCTATTTATAAAAAATTCTAGATCAGGCAAAAATTAATCTATAATGACAAAAAGCAGATTAGTTTTTGCCTGAGAATTAAAAGTAGGGGAATTTAGCTACAAAAATATAGGAGAATATTTGGGGGAACAATGTAAATATTCTACATTTTGAGCATAGTAGAGATGTATATATCAGTCAAAACTCATTGAAATGCACACTTAAAATAGGCAGTTTTATAACTTGTAAATTATACCTCAATAATGCTGATTTGAGAAAAAGATCTATATACTTGTGTTGTTCTGTATAACTTTTCAGAGACTGTGATAAATTATCTCAGTCTTAAAACCCTTTGCTGAGGGCTGTAATATATTTACATTTTCTCAAGTTTCTTATATCTAGCTATCTCTTAGAGCTCAAGACATATGCCCAATGTCTTATTTAATGAACTACTTTGCTCCTTCTAATAAAGACTGCTGACTTTTCATCCAGCTGGTGGAATATTCACTGCCTCCCCAAATTCTACATCACTCAGATACTTTTTCTCAGATGCAAATGACAGAGACTTAATTGAAAACAGGAAAGACAGTGGCTCCTGAAATACCAGTAAGTTTTTTTCAAATAATTTTTTATTTCCATAGGTTTCTAGAGAACAGGTGTTATTTGGTTACATGAATAAGTTATTTAGCGGTGATTTGTGAAATTTTGGTGCACCCATCACCTAAGCAGCATACTGCACCATATTTGTAGTCTTTTGTCCCTCACCCCCTTCCTACCCTTCCCCCTGAGTCTCCACTGTGTCCATCGTGTCATTCTTATGCCTTTACCTCCTTGTGGCTTAGCTTCCACTTACGAGTGAGAAAATACGATGTTTGATTTTCCATTCCTGAGTTACTTCACTTAGGATAATAGTCTTCAGGCCCACCCAGGTTGCTGCAAATGCCATTAATTCATTTATTTTTATGGCTGACTAGTATTCCATCATATAAATATACCACATTTTCTTTATCCATTCATTGATTGATGGGCATTTGGGTTGGTTCCACGTTTTTGAAATTGCAAATTGTGTTGCTAGAAACATGCGTATGCAAGTATCTTTTTAGGAAAATGACTTCTTTTCCTCTGGATAGATACCCAGTAGTGAGATTGCTGGATCAAATGACACCTCTACTTTTAGTTCTTTAAGGAATCTGCACACTGTTTTCCATAGTGATTGTACTAGTTTACATTCCCACCAGCAGTGTTGAAGTGTTCCCTTTTCACCTCATCCACACCAACATCTATTATCTTTTCATTTGTTTTGATTATGGCCATTCTTGTGGAAGTAAGGTGGTATCACATTGTGGTTTTGATTTGCATTTCTCTGATCATTAGTGGTGTTGATCATTTTTTTCATATGTTTGTTGTCCATTTTTATATTTAATTAAACTAAAGAGCTTTTGCATGGCCAAAAAGGAACAGTCAACAGAGTAAACAAACAACCCACATAGTGGGAGAAAATTTTCACAATCTATACATCTGACAAAAGACTAATATCCAGAATCTACAACAAACTCAAACAAATTAGCAAGAAAAAAAAAACTCAACAAAAAGTGGGCAAAAGACATGAAGAGACCAGTAAGTTTAAATAGCAAAGCTTTGTGAAGAATGGGGATGTGACTGGCAGTTAGGGACAACTAGACCTAAGCAACCAGGTAATGTTTCCAGGGCTCTTTCATCCTCTCTCTTCCTTTTTAATTTAATTTAATTTTATGTAGAGAGCATTTGTTTTAATTTTTGTTTTCTGGTTTCAGACATCATTTTACATTCCCGACTTTCTCCACTTTTCAAGACACAAAACATGGCCCCTGAATTTATGAAATCCTATGGCTTTGCTAACTGGTGAGAGTTAGTATTAATGCTTTTTTTGTGATACTTAATTATATAAGTTCCAAGGGAGGATTTCTTTGGCCTATTTTAGTTCACATAGCCACCTGTGGTGCTATTGACTATGGCCAGGGAACCAGAGATATGGGTCATGAGATATATAGAGGTTCCAGGGATAGCTTTGAGGATGTCAGGGTTAGACATATGGAAAGAGCATGTTACAAAAAAAGGAAAAATTATGGGAAAACAATCTCATATATACTCATGGAAATAGGCACATTACCATGCATCATGTATTTTAGATTTATTTATCCAAGTTTTAAGACACAACGGTGGGCCCTTTCATTCATTTTTTTCTTTTTGTCAAAACAATATTTAGTATTTTTCTAAATCAATTTTGAGAAACTGATAGGCATAATAAATAATATTTAAATGCATTTTACATAAATATTTTATAAAAAATATTTGTAAATAACATTCTGAAATAAGAAAATTTAGACTTTAATCTTACTAGCAAAGAAAAAAATAGTCATTTAAGGTAAAATGAAACTAACCAGCTAGGTAAGGGCAAAGTCTGAATGTAAGTAGAAATATTTGAAAAAAAAAGTTCCAGTGAGAACATTAGATAAGAAACAATTGGGAGCATTAGAGGCTAGGTTTAGCTCAACAATTGAGTACTAGTTTTTCCATGCTAGTAATCTCTACCAATCAGTTTTATATTCCACAAATTAAAGAATTTAGAATGGATGACCTCTACCATTTCTACCATTGAGATGCTATGGACTGCCTCTTGCCGCATCATACATTTCTCACACAATTAATGTTAGACAGTAGAAATTACATAGGGTTATTTTTGGTAATTCCTACTAATGTACTAAAAAAAGAGAAAAACACAGACCATAAAATCACTAGATATTCTGAGATAAACAGAAAGACGCTGGAGTTCAAATTTTCAATCTTAAAATAGTGCTTAAAGCCTATATTTCCACAGCTTCTTTTTCTTTTACTCCTCCATACTCCCTCAGTCATTGCTCTGAGTGCTAGAAGTATGGAAGAGTATTTTGAAGAATAATTTTCACAAACCTAAAAAAAAATAATAAAATCCCTTATCAGTAGACATTTTTTAAAATTAGGAAGCAATATTTCTGTCATTTCTTCAATTACTTAGATTAAATGACTGGCATATTAATTAGTTTCTATATACTCATTCTTTTTGTAAGCAGTAAATATGAGAAAAGTATTTTTTGGTAACTATAATAGTTATTTGAGAGTGTCAAAAGATTGTGCTAAAAATGTGGTAATGCTACAATTTTAAACATTGTCCCTTCAGAAAAAAAATTGTTAAGGATAGATACATATATATAAAATTGACAGGTATATATATATATATATATATATATATAACTGACACATATATATATATATGTGTGTATACCTGTCAATTTTAGATTTTTATTTAACTCCTCAAGGCATCCCCATGAAAACACCAATAATTCAAATAAATTTAAAATTAAGGTACTTTTAGCAGCAATGTGCTATTTGTTATATTGCGTATTGTTGTTCTTTCTGTAATGTGGTAAACTGTAGTAAATATATTTTAACTACATATAAACCAAATATTTTAGGATATCTGAGGAAGTTACTTATTTTCTAAACATATGTATAAATTCAAAATATTTTTCAATTCTTATTCTAAAACTGAAAATTTCATAGTTTCAAATAAATGCCATTACATTGGTCTTCATTTCTATCATTCTCTTCCATTGTGTGTGGTTTTGTTTTTTTTTTTTTTTGAGGCGGAGTCTCACTCTGTCACTCATGCTGGAGTGCAGTGGCATGTTCTTGGCTCACTGCAAGCTCCGCCTCCTGGGTTCACACCATTCTCCTGCCTTAGCCTCCCGAGTAGCTGGGACTACAGGTGTGCACCACCATGCCCGGCTAATTTTTTTTTTTTTTTTTTTTGTATTCTTAGTAGAGACAGGGTTTCACTGTGTTAGCCAGGATGGTCTCGATCTCCTGACCTCAATAAAGCTTTCAATTGTATTTTTAAAACACATTGAAGTTTAACATTTTAGAACTGGAAATTCTCCATCACCCAGAATTGGCTTTTGTCCTTCAGACACAATTTTTAACTAATCATTTCAAAATAAATCTCTTCAGTTTATGCATCTTTATAGAGAATAATTTTTTAAATGATCAGTATTCAAAATACTGGTGGTTGAACTTTAATAGATTAGTAGATATTAGTTTTCAATATGCCTGCTCCAGAATTTCTCCAATATACTATAGCATTTTGAAGGTTAATAGGTTAGCAACGTTTGTCCATGTACAAGTCCTTAGTAAGAAACATATTCAGGAAGACATAACAGCCTTCAAATGAATAACTAAAAGCAGTGTTTCTAACCTGTTCCATTACTGTTTTGGGGGGCAGATTCCTCTTACTGCTTTAAGTCAATAAGTTTGCCCTCAGCTAATAATGACTCATTTTCTCATAGTTGGAGGGAACCCTTTTGAATTTTAGGTCAAACTTCCTAAACAGTATCTTCCAATGTTTATGGGTGGTACTTTCAACATTTAAATGTTCCTTTTTCACAGAAAGTACTACTACGTAGAAAAGACAAATTATAACAAAATTAATGTAAAGAATTAGATGCTTGAATCAGTGTTCTACAAGGCAGAAATTTAGCAGGTAATTACCTAGTGATTAAGCTTTAACATTGTAATCAGTGAAATTCCATGACTCTTTCATCTCCTAACAATTATTTGTTTGCATGGCAATTTACATAGTTCAGTTGTGAAACTGTTTATTTTGTCTTAGTAACTATATACCTGGACAGAATTTTGTTTACTTATTTATTATACACAGTTTTACAAGGTAAAAAATGGTTTGGACAACACACAGTAAAAATTTCAAAAGAATATTGATTTAAATAAGATAGTGTATTTCTGCCTTACATTAAGGAAACCAAGAGGCAGGCAATCAACCAGTGACTAAAGTATTTAACTTTCTACTTTACCTCCAAGGGCTTGGCTTCCATTCTCAAGATTACCTCATAATCCAAGATGGATGCTGGAGCTGCAGCCATTAAATAAAAAGTTTGCAGGCTGGAAGAAAGAAGAGAATGCAAGAGCAATAGTTCTTCCAGTTAAATTGGCTCTATTAAGCAACTTTCCTGGATAGTTTCCATAACACTTCTCCTTTTACCTCTGCTTTCAAATTGGCTGCTCCAGACCAAGTTCTTCTCTTACAGAATTAGGTTGAAACCAAAAAGACACTGGCTCTACATGATAATACAATGACCTACAATAACATCCCCTAGTACCACAGAGTTAATGATCATGTTTCTAGGGATTGTTTTCTTTGCAGTGTACAAAAATGACAATATTTTTTAGACATCAAATTATTGAACCACATCTTGAATCATTGTCTTCTGGTGTTCTATATTATGGACTTAAGTCTATAGTGGTCCATTCGTTTATAGACAAATTGTATGGATTTTTTGTCTGATGATTTGTAAAATGCTATCTTTACCATTATAAAACAAGTGACCATGATCTAACTAGTTCTTACCTGGCATTTCTGGATCTGTAAATTCGAGATTTCCTTCAGTTCACAAAACTTGTCATGTCTTTCATAAATTATAATATATAATTTACATTTTGTTTTGTGTGTCTAAACTCAATCTCAGTAAACCAAAGTTGTTGCTTTTGAACTTTCTTGATCTGAAGCAATGAATTTACTTAAAATGGAAAGCTTTCCATCTATCTTCATAACAGTTTCTGTCATATGCAGCACCTTAATGTTCCTCAGAAGATGAGTGATGGGATTCTAACAGATTCTTTTATATTTACCTAACATGACACCATACTTCTTGTCAGAACAAGAATTTCTGACACTTCTCTCTTTACTGTGCTGTAATTTTGTCTTATTTTCCCTCAAATTCCCAGAAATATTTTGAAAAATGTGTTTTATAAATTATTTTCTTTCTTTGACCATGGATTTTAGGAACTTTATTATTTTAATAGCTTTTAATCTTTAAGATGGAATTTCAAAAGAAAAGATTTAAACATTTGGGCTCCAGCCGAATTCTATGGGAGGTACAAAGAGGAGCAGGTACCATTCCTTCCAAAACCATTCTATCAATTGAAAAGGAGAGACTCTTCCGTAACTCATTTTATGAGGTCAGCATCATCCTAATACCAAAACTTGGCAAAGACACAACAACAAAAAAGAAAACTTCAGGCCAGTATCCCTGATGAACATCGATGATGATGAGAATATCCTCAATAAAATACTGGCAAACTGAATCCAGCAGTACATCAAAAAGCTTATTCACCATAATCAAGTTGGTTTCATCCCTGGGATGCAAGGCACTTTTAACATACACAAATCAATAAACATAATCCATCACATAAACAAAACCAATGACAAAACCACATGATTATCTCAATAGATGCAGAAAAGGCAGAGAGGTCCTATGTACACTTCTTCTCATTTCCTTCAATAGACACAACTTATGTAACTATAATTCAATAGCAAACTAAGAAATTGGTATGGCTACAATTTGTATAGTTTTATACCATTTTATCACATATATTGATTTGTATAACCACCACTGCAATCAAGGTACCAATCTATTCCGTAAACAGAAAGATCTCCCTCATGTGGTTCCATTATAATTACACCAACCTAATAGCCACCATCCTTGCTTCTTGGAAACCACTAATCTTTCTTCCATCTCTATAATTTTGTCATTTCGAGAATATTTTATCAATTGAATCATATAGCATGTGACCTTTTGAGATTAGCTTTTTTTTACCCTTAGCAAAATGCATTGAAATCCACTCATTATTGCATGTATCAGTAGTTTGTTCATTTTGTTGAGTAGTATTTTATCAAATAGAATGAGATGAGCCTTGTGATTTCACCAACTACATCCTTGAGTCAATTTTATTGCTGCATTGCAGATAGTAGGAACCTAGAACCTGGAGTCTCATTGAATAGAGGATACAGATATTGGCATTTAGAGAGTCTAAAGTGGCTAGAATTTGCATTAGAATACAAAATCAGATAGGTCTTTAGATGAGTGATGAACTGTGCATGCCTGGTTTAAAACTCCTCACATTTGGAGTAATAAATAGACTAAAAAGCCTCCACAGCTCACATATCTCTAAGAGTAGTTTGATTCTCATTAGATAGAACAAAGAGACATCAAAATAAAAGACAAAATATAACACTGCATAAAGAGTCACACCTTAGTAATGAGGCTAAAGTAGAGTCTGAGCAATGGCTAATCTGGACTCATATTTCAAAAACCTTAAAATTAATTTATCAAGCTTCAAAAACATATTGATTCTGAAATAACTTAAAATCCTCCCAGAATCAAATCCACGCTTCTTTAAAAGAATATAAAAAATCCAGTACTCAGCTACAAAAATTTGACAATATCTGACATTCAGTCAAAACATAACAAACATGCAAAGAGGAAAGGAAATATGATGTGTATGTTACTAAACGACAATATCTATAAAAAAGCATAAATGACAGAAATTATGAAATTAGCGGATAACAACTTCAAGACTGCTAATATAAATTTTATAAATATACTCAAGTACATAATCAACATAAACAACATAAACAAATGAGATACAAATAAAACATCTATGAATAAAAACAATGATCTCACCAACTACCTTGAGAACCTAGGAAAAGAAGAGCAATTTATACAATTTACACCAAAAGTAAACAGGTAGAAGGAAGTAATAAAAACAGAAGCAGAAATCAGCGAAATAGAGAAAATCAACAGAGAAAAATCAATTGAACCAAAAGTTGTTTGTTTGAAAAGATTAGTAAAATTGATAAGCTTCTAAACAGCCTTATCAAACATACAAAACAAAAAAAGGATTTAAACTGAAGATAAAATGTAACCCTAAAAAAATTAAATTTACCAGAAAAGACAAAGAGACAAAAGGGGAAAAAAGTAGAAAATAAGTAGCAAAATAGTAGATTTAAAATTAAACACACCAGTAATTATATTAAATGTAAATGGTTTAAACACTCTAATTAGTAGAAAGATATTGCTAACCAAGTATTTTATCTTAAATATAAAAATAAAGGTTTAAAGAAAATATTTAGAAGTCTACATACAACTAATTATAGGAATACTTGAGTAGCTCTACTACATATCAGAAGAAGTAAACTTCAAGGTAAAGAGTTTTACCAGTAATTAAGAGGAAGCTACAATAATGACAAAATCATTATTTCATTAAAAAGATACAAAAATTATTAAAATGAATGTATATAATAACAGAGTTTTAAAAAAGTAAATAAAAAAGTTACTATTACTGAAAGGAGAACTCCAGAAATTCAGTATCGTAGTTGGATATTTCAGTACTCTTCTCTGAGTAATTGAGAAGTTTAAAAAAATATTAAGGATATAGAGATCTTATTCAAAAACTCTGCCAACCAACTAGACCTAAGTATCATTTATAGTAGAATATATATTGCTCTCTCATGCACAGGTATCATACACCAACATAAACAGTATCCTGAGCCATAAAATGACTCTCAATAAATTTCAAATTTTAATGTTACCTGACAGCAATTGAATTAAACTATATATTAATGTCAGAAATATATGCGGAAAATACATAAGTATTTGGAACTTAACACACCTCCAAATAAATTCATATACCAAAAAAGTCGCAAGAAATTAGTATTTATTTCGAACTATATTAACATGAAAATGCAACATATCAAAGTGTGTATGAACAAATAAAGTAGTGCTTAGAGAGAAATTTATAGCAATCAATACTTACATTAAAAATAAGAAAGAGCTAAAAATTAATGATCTCACCAACTACCTTGAGAACCTAGAAAAAGAGCAATTTATACAAAAAGTAAACAGGTAGAAGGAAGTAATAAAAACAGAAGCAGAAGTCAGTGAAATAGAGAAAAATCAATTGAACCAAAAGTTGTTTGTTTGAAAAGATTAGTAAAATTGATAAGCTTCTAAACAGCCTTATCAAACATACAAAACAATCTGCCCAGTCCTATGACCTGAAGGTAATTAGCTGACTGAAGGTCATCTATGTCATTTGATTTTACATAAATGACAAGGTAACTTAATAAGCTTCATTTTATTTTATAGTCAGTACAACATACTTGTGAAATAAATGAAATAACTGGTTTGAGTAATATAGAATGATGTCATTGCCAAACAAATAGTTGCTGGAACTGGTGATTTTTAGTGTTAAAAAGAGTAGACGTTGCGTGGAAATGATAGCTGTTTTCAGATATATACAAGCTGGCTGAATTGAGGTAGCATTAGACTTGCTGTATAACTACTGAGAGCATAAATCTACAAATACATGGAAACTAAAACAAATATGACAATCATTTTTTAACACTAAAAGAGAGTGTCTACTGAATTCCTGTAGCAAACTATGATATTCTCTTGTGGCATTATTGCACTTATATTACAAATTACTTATGTACATACCATCTCCCTAACAGGAGAGCATATATTATATCATTATTTTGTATTTCCCACAGTATCCATATTTGGTACAAAATTTTACATCAACTTTCCTTCTTATATAGTTTAAATAAATGTTGTTTGAATAATGGATCATTATTAAAGGAAAGAAAGGAAGAAGGAAAAAAGAACAGGAGGGAGAGGGTGGAAGAAAAATTGAAAAATTCAGTTAGTTATCTTCTTTTTTTATTTTATTATTATTATACTTTAAGTTTTAGGGTACATGTGCACAATGTGCAGGTTAGTTACATATGTATACATGTGCCATGCTGGTGTGCTGCACCCATTAACTCTTCATTTAGCATTAGGTATATCTCCTAATGCTATCCCTCCCCCCTCCCCCAACCCCACAACAGTCCCCAGAGTGTGATGTTCCCCTTCCTATGTCCATTTGTTCTCATTGTTCAATTCCCACCTATGAGTGAGAACATGCGGTGTTTGGTTTTTTGTTCTTGCGATAGTTTACTGAGAATGATGATTTCCAATTTCATCCATGTCCCTACAAAGGACATGAACTCATCATTTTTGATGGCTGCATAGTATTCCATGGTGTATATGTGCCACATTTTCTTAATCCAGTCTATCATTGTTGGACATTTGGGTTGGTTCCAAGTCTTTGCTATTGTGAATAGTGCCGCAATAAACATACGTGTGCATGTGTCTTTATAGCAGCATGATTTATAGTCCTTTGGGTATATACCCAGTAATGGGATGGCTGGGTCAAATGATATTTCTAGTTCTAGATCCCTGAGGAATCGCCACACTGACTTCCACAATGGTTGAACTAGTTTACAGTCCCACCAACAGTGTAAAAGTGTTCCTATTTCTCCACATCCTCTCCAGCACCTGTTGTTTCCTGACTTTTTAATGATTGCCATTCTAACTGGTGTGAGATGGTATGTGATTGTGGTTTTGATTTGCATTTCTCTGATGGCCAGTGATGATGAGCATTTTTTCATGTGTTTTTTGGCTGCATAAATGTCTTCTTTTGAGAAGTGTCTGTTCATGTCCATCGCCCACTTTTTGATGGGGTTGTTTTTTTCTTGTAAATTTGTTTGAGTTCATTGTAGATTCTGGATATTAGCCCTTTGTCACATGAGTAGATTGCAAAAATTTTCTCCCATTCTGTAGGTTGCCTGTTCACTCTGATGGTAGTTTCTTTTGCTGTGCAGAAGCTCTTTAGTTTAATTAGATCCCATTTGTCAATTTTGTCTTTTGTTGCCATTGCTTTTGGCGTTTTAGACATGAAGTCTTTGCCCATGCCTATGTCCTGAATGGTAATGCCTAGGTTTTCTTCTAGGGTTTTTATGGTTTTAGGTTTAACGTTTAAGTCTTTAATCCATCTTGAAGTAATTTTTGTATAAGGTGTAAGGAAGGGATCCAGTTTCAGCTTTCTACATATGGCTAGCCAGTTTTCCCAGCACCATTTATTAAATAAGGAGTCCTTTCCCCATTGCTGAGTTAGTTATCTTCTACAGAAAGTTTTAAGCAAAAGTTGTATGACACTTCTTTCATTTAGTCATTGAGGCTATAGAAGGAGCAATGGAGTATTTTACCTCAAGGCCTGTTTCACAAAGTGTATTCTAGCAAGCATTACTACTTAAAATCTGACCCTTGCATTGTTGCCAATAAAGAGATATGTGTTTTCAAAACCTGATGAGATGAAGTATAGAACATGAGAGTAAGTCTATAGAAATACTTACTAGACGTATTAACTTTATGTGTTTTTAGATCTGATTATAAAATTAGATGGCCATGTTTTGAATGTATTTATTTTATTTTTATAATAATTTTTATTATATTTATAAAAGTATTAGCCTACATAAAGAAGATGTTTTTAATTCTTTACCCCAGATAGTTTGAAAGCACTGCAATAGAATGACATTCCCAAAAGACATCTTGTTCTGTAGCTTTCCACGACAAAATGAGTTCGGGAAATGGGTGGCTGTGTCATTCTTACTGATTTTAGTCCACATTGAAGTGTTAAAGTCTATGAAAATTAAATCGACCTCCTTAAATGTGTTATTTATTATTTTCAATTATTTTTTAGCACATAATTATTTTTATATTAACTATTAAGACCCTGGGTAAAGAATGTTCAAATGAACACACTCAAATTATGTGATATGAAAGTTACAAGAAATTATCCAAATTTGTGACATTTTAATGATCAAGTCAAGTGTCTTTCAAATTTCCTTTTTAAAAATATATCTATTTTTTACAGTTGTCTAAACATTAATGAGAGATATACCCTCTTAACAAAGTTTTAAGTATTCAATACAATATTGTTAACTATAGGAACAAAGTTGTGACAGATCTGTAGAACTTACTTATCTTGCACAACTAAAACTGCATACCCATTAAATAGCAATTTCCATTTCTCTCTCCCTCTGAGCCTAGAAACCTCCATTCAATTCTGTTTCTATGAGTTTCACTTTTTTGGATAACTCATAAAAGTGAATCATAAATTGTCCTTTGTGATTGGCTTATTCTACTTACCATAATGTCTTCCAAGTTCATCTATGCTGTTGTATATGGCGGAATTTCCTATTTAATTTATTTATTTATTTATTTATTTGAGACGGAGTCTCACTCTATCACCCAGGCTGTAGTGCAGTGGCACCATCTCAGCTCACACCAACCTCTGCCTCCCAGGATCAAGCCATCCTCCCAAGTAGCTGGGACTACAGGCATATGCCAACACACCTGGCCAATTTTTGTATTTTTAATAGAGACGGGGTTGGTCTCGAACTCCTGACCTCAGGCAATCCGCCCGCCTCAGCCTCCCAAAGTGCTGGGATTACAGGCATGAGCCACCACAACCAGCCAGAATTTCTTTCTTTTTTAAGGCTGAATAATATAAATGTCACATTTTGTTTATCCATTGATCTGTCAATAGATATTTGAGTTGTTTCTGTATATTGGCTATTGCGAATAAAACTTCCACAAACATGAGAGGGCAGATGTCTCTTCAAGATCCAGATTTTAATTATTTTAGATACATTCCAATAAGTGGCATTGTTGGATGATGTGCTAGTTCTATTTATTAATTTTTTGAGGAAATTTTATACTATTTTTCATAGCAATTGCATCATTTTACCTTCTCACAAATAATGTACAATGACATCGATTTCTCCACATCCTCGCCAACATTTGTTATCTTTTTTTTACAATCGCCACCATAATAGATGTGAAGTGATATCTCCTTGTTTTATGTAAGATTTAAAACTGTAAAACTCTAGAAAACAAAATCACAGGGGAAAAGCATCCTGATATTCGTCTAGGAAATTATTTATTGGATACGACACCAAAAATACAAGCAACAAAAACAAAAATATACAAGTGAGACTCCATCAAATTTAAGTTTCTACACAGCAAAGGAAACAACAGAGGCATGAAACAATTCATGGAATGGGAGAAAATATTTACAAATCACATCTGATAAGAGGTTAATGGCAAAAATATACAAGGAACTTCTACAACTCAATAGCAGATGAAACCAAACAAAAAACCAATTTAAAAATGAGCAAAGGATATAAGTAGAAATTTCTCCAAAGAATATGTTTCAAAAAAAGAAGAAGAAGAAGCACATGAAGAGGTGTTCAACATCACTAATTGTCAGGAAAATTCAATTTTTTTCAAATTTCTAATCATATTGGAAAACTTTTCAGCTATTTATGAGTCCTCAACTGTTGTATAATCATTTGACAATTCAATCATAATTTTCCATTACCAGAAATAGTTTGGTTCTTCTTTTAAATAATTAAATGCCATGTCATATATTTTAAATAACATAAAATGTAATTTACATGGTAAGTGTAAAGAGACATAATAGGTTTCAATAATGTCATGATAAAATTCACAAATAGAAAACAGTTTATTGCTTTTTAATGCATATTTATCTAAATAAACTTAATAGGTAAGCTGTGTAATATACTATCAACAACTTTTCATCATGCATATTTAAGATAGTTTTAAGTTGTCATCATTCAACTTTTATATGAAATCATTTTCTTTTATAATTTCCCTTGAACAGACCATTTTAATATCTTTGCTAGCAAAACTTACAATACCTCTTCCAAAGAATAGGGCATGGTGATTTCTATTTAGCTGATGCCTTTCATTCCATATGTTCTTAGGAATATATCACTGAGAAAATATTTCAACATCCATTTTTTAGAACAGATTAGGTATATAGTTAGCAAAGAAGAAATTTAGTCATTGGTGTAACATAACCTTCCACAATGTCAAAAATACCCAAAGTGTAGAACTCTCAGAAATCTTGTCTGTCCTCACAGCTTTTTCACTGGGAAGATAGTTAAACTTTAAAATAAGAGCTGTAAAGCAAGTTGGAAAATTGCCACATACAATTAATTAGCAATAGTAGAAGTTAGACAATTAAAAATCAGACTTCACTCTGACCCAATAACCAGATAAAATTAGTTTTTATTTTTCTAATTTTTGTATTAAATGTGAAAATATTAATGTGTGTACAGAGATTTGACTTCCTTTTCATATTTTCTTTAAGTAGAAAAGTCTATAGAAATGCCATTGAAACTCATTCTCAGAATAAAATGTGTTATCTTGTGATCATTTATAAATTTTAAGCTTCATTAAAATCAGTTTGCCAATCATTATATAATATTCTGATTTAGAAATACTGGCCTATGTATGAATGAATCAAAAAATCCTGCTCAAATTTTAGATTTGCTCAAGGAAGGGAAATATTTCAGAAATTCAGAATTCAAAAACACTTTAGCATTGATTAACTTGGTCTTTGTTTTTTAATAAGACAAAATAAAAAATATTTTTTTGTTTTCTTCTGTGAACCACTTTAATGAGTGATATTGACAAACAGGCAAATATCTAATGTAATACTCAAGAGTTCAAGAAAAAGAATGGGAAACATAATTGTTTTTAAAATTTAAAGTGTTAGACTTTTCTATATAGTTATAAATCTAGGGCTAATAAACTTATACTACAGAAAAGTATATTTAAATGTAAAATAAAAACTTCTTTATTATCTTTATTTCAATGTTTTTGGGAAACAGGTAGTGTTTGATTACATGAATAAATTATTTAGTGGTGATTTCTGAGATTTTGGTTCATCCATCACTCAAGCAGAGTACACTATACCAATGTGTAGTCTTTTATCTCTCACCCCCCTCACATCCTTTCCCCCAAGCCCCAAAGTCGATTGTATCATTTTTATGCCTTCGCATCCTCATAGCTTAGCTCCCACTTATGAGTGAGAACATACAATGTTGGGTTCTCTATTCATGAGTTATTTCATTTAGAATAACGATCTCCAATTCCATCCAGGTTGCTGCAAATGCCATTATTTCATTCCTTTCTATGCTGAGCAGTATACCATGGTATGTATTTATATATATATACACATATATATACACACATATATACACATACATATATGTGTATACACATATACACATACATATATACACATATATATGCATATATACACACACATATGTGTGTGTGTGTGTGTGTGTGTGTGTGTGTGTGTATATATATATATATATATATATATATATATATATATACCACATTTTCTTTGTCCACTCTCTGATTGATGGGAATTTGGCTGGTTCCATAGTTTTACAATTGCAAATTCACAATTTTTGCAATTTGCAAAAAAGTCCTTAGCCCACTTTTTGAAAGGATTGTTTGTTTTTTCCTTACTGATTTTCTTGTAGATTCTGGATATTAGTCCTTTGTCAAAGATATAGATTGTGAAGATTTTCTCCTACTCTGTGGATTGTCTGTTAACTCTGTTGATTATTTCTTTTGCTGTGTAAAAGCATTTTACTTTAATTAAGTCCCACCTATTTATCTTTGTTTTTGTTGCATTTGCTTTTGGATTCTCAGTCATGAAGTCTTTGCCTAAGCCAACATCTACAAGAGTTTTTCCAATGTTACCTTCTAGAATTTTTATAGTTTAAAATCTTAGATTTAAGTCCTAGATTTATCTTGAGTTCATTTCCCGTGTAAAATGAGAGATGAGGATCCAGTTTCGTTATTCGACATGTGGTTTGTCAATTATCCGAGCACCATTTGTTGAATAGGGTGTCCTTTCCCAACTTTATGCTTTTGTTTGCTTTGTCGACAATCAGTTGGCTGTAAGTATTTGGCTTTATTTCGGGGCTCTTCATTTTGTTCCATTAATCTATGTGCCTATCTTCATATAAGTACCATGCTGTTTTGGTGACTATGGCCTTAAAGTGTAAAGTCAGGTAATGTAATGCCTTCAGATTTGTTCTTTTTTCTTAGCCTTACTTTGGCTATGCAGGCTCTTTTTTGGTTCCATATGAATTTTAGGATTGTTTTTTCTAGTTCTACAAAGAATTATATTGGTATTTTGATGGGAATTGCATTGAATTTGTAGATTGCTTTTGGCAGTATGGTTATTATGGTCGTTTTCACAATATTGATTCTGCCCATCCATGAGCATGGGATGTGCTTTCATTTGTTTTTGTCATCTACGAGTTCTTCAGCAGTGTTTCGTTGTTTTCCCTGTACGGGTCTTTCACCTCCTTGTTTAGGATTATTCCTAAGTATTTTACTTTTGTGCAGCTATTATAAAAGGGATTTAGCTCTTGATTTGATTCTCAGCTTGGTTGTTGTTGGTATATAGCAGAGCTACTGACTTATGTACATTAATTTTGTATCCTGAAACTTTGCTGAATTCAGTTGTCAATTTCAGGAATTTTTCGAGTAATATTTCGGCTTTTCTAGGTATACAATCATATAATCAGCAAACAGTGACTGTTTGACTTCCTTTTTACTGATTTGGATGCCCTTTATTTCCTTCTCTTGTCTGATTGCTCTGGCTAGGACTTCCAGTACTATGTTAAAGAGGAGTGGTGAGAGTGGGCATCTTTGTCTTGTTCCAGTTTTCAGGGGGAATTCTTTCAACTTTTTCCCATTCAGTATAATGTTGGCTGTGGGTTTGACATAGATGGCTTTTATTACATTAAGGTATGACCCTTCTATGCCAATTTTGCTGAGGGTTTTAATCATAAAGTGATGCTGAATTTTGTCAAATGCCTTTTCTGTGTCTGTTGAGATGATCATGTGATTTTTGTTTTTACTTCTCTTTATGTGGTGTATCACATTTATTGACTTGCAGATGTTGAAACATCCTTGCATCCCTGGTATGAAACCCACTTGATCATGGTGGATTATGTTTTTGATATGCTGTTGGATTTGCTTAGCTAGTATTTTATTAAGGATTTTTGCATCTATATTCATCAGGGATATTGGTCTATAGTTTTCTTTTTTTGTTATGTCATTTCCTGGTTTGGATATTAGGGTGATCTGGCTTCACAGAATTATTTAGGGAGGATTGCCTCTTTCTCTGTCTTGTAGAATAGTATCAGTAGGATTGGTATCAGTTCTTCTTTGAATATCAGATAAAATTCAGCTGTGAATCTGTCTGGTCCTGAACTTTTTTTTGTCGGCAATTTTTTTATTACTATTTCAATCTTGCTGCTTGTTATTGATGTGTTCAGAGTTTCTATTTCTTCCTGGTTTAATCTTGGAGGGTTGTATCTTTCCAGGAGTTTATCCATCTCCTTTAGGTTTTCTAATTTATGTGTGTAAAGGTGTTCATAGTAACCTTGAATTATGTTTTTATATTTCTGTGGTATCTGTTATAATATCTCCTATTTCATTTCTAATTGAGCTTATTTGGATTTTTTGTTTTTGCTTAATCTCACTAATGGTCTATCAATTTTATTTTTCTTTTCAAAAACCCAGGCTTTTGTTTCATTTATCTTTTGTATTTCTTGTTTCAATTCATTTAGTTCTGCTCTGATCTTGGTTATTTCTTTTCTTTTGATGGGTTTCGGTTTGATTTGTTGTTATTTCTCTAGCTCTATGATGTGTGATTCTGGATTGTCTATTTGGGCTCTTTCCGACTTTATGAAATAGGCATTTAATGCTATGACCTTTCTTCTTAGCACCACCTTTGCTGTATCTCAGAGGTTTTGATAGGTTGTATTACTATGATTGTTCAATTGAAAGAAATTTTAATTTCATCTTGATTTCATTGTTGACCCAAGGATCATTCAGGGGCAACATATTTAATTTCCATGTATTTTCATTATTTTGAGGGTTCCTTTTAGAGTTCATCTCCCATTTTATTCCACTGTGGTCTGAGAGAGTAGCTGATATAATTTATATTTTCTTAAATTTGTTGAGACTTGTTTTGTGGCCTATCATATGGTCTACCTCAGAGAGTTTTCCATGTGCTGATGAATAGAATGTATATTCTACAATTATTGGATAGAATATTCTGTAAATATTTGTTAAGTCCATTTGTCCTAGGGTACAGTTTAAATCTATTGTTTCTTTGTTGACTTTCTGTCTTGATGACCTGTCTAGCGCTGTGGGCGGGGTATTGAAGTCCCCCCACTATTATTGTGTTGCTATCTATCTCATGTCTTAGGTGTAGTAGTAATTGTTTTATAAATTTGGAAGCTCCAGTGTTAGGTGCGTATATATGTCACATTTTTCTGTTGGTCTAGTCCTTTTATCATTATATAATGTCCCTCTTTGTCCTTTTTAACTGCTATTGCTTTAAAGTTTGTTTTGCCTTATGTAAGAATAGGTACTCCTGCTCTCTCTTTGTGTTCATTTATATGGAATATCTTTTTCTACCCCTTTACCTTAAGTTTATGTGAGTCCTTATGTGTCAGGCAAGTATCTTGAAGACAGTGGACACTTGGTTGGTGAATTCTTATCCATTCGGCCATTCTGTATCTTCTAAATGCAGCATTTAGGCCATTTATATTGAGATGTGAGGTATTATTCTATTCATTGTGCTCTTTGTTGTCTGAATACCAGTTTTGTTTTGTTTTTTTAATTTACTTACTGTGTTATTGTTCTATAGGTCCTGTGAGATTTATGCTTTAAGGAGGTCCTATTTTGGTGTATTTTGAAGGTTTATTTCAAGATTTAGAGCTCCTTTTAGCAGTCCTTGTAGCGCTGGCTTGGTAGTGGCAAATTCTCTCAGTATTTGTTTGTTTCAAAAAGACTGTATCTTTCCTTCATTTATGAAGCTTAGCTTCATTGGATACAAAATTCTTAGCTGAAAATTGTTTTGTTTAAGAAGACTGAAGATAGGACCCCCAATCTCTTCTAGCTTGTAGGGTTTCTGCTGAGAAATCTGCTGTTATTCTGGTAGGTTTTCCTTTATAGGTTACCTGGTGCTTTTGCCTTACAGCTATCAAGATTTTTTCCCTTCATCTTGACTTTAGATAACTTCATCTTTTTGTGATGAATTTCCCATGTGTTCTTTGAGCTTCTTGTATTTGGATGTCTAGATCTCAAGCAAGGCTGGGAAAGCTTTCCTCAATTATTCCCTCAAATGTTTTCCAAACTTTTAGATTTCTCTGCTTCCTCAGGAACATCAATTGTTCTTAGATTTAGCCATTAAACATAATCTCAAACTTCTTGGAGGTCATTCATTTACTTATTTTTTTTTCTCTTTCTTTGTTAGATCAGCTTAATTCAAAAACCTTGTTCTCGAGTTCTGCAGTTCTTTATTCTGCTCATCAATTCTATTGCTGAGACTTTCCAGTGCATTTTACTTTTCTCCAAATGTGTCTTTCATTTCCAGAAGTTGTGATTGTTTTTTATTTATACTATCTATTTTACTGAAGATTTTCCCCTTCACATCATATATATATATATATATATATACATACATACACATATATGTGTGTGTGTGTGTGTGTGTGTATGTGTGTGTGTATAATTTTATTAAGTTGAATTTCACTCTTCTCTGGTTCCTCCTTGAATAGCTTAATAATTGAACTGAATTATTTTTCTGGCAATGCAGGGATTTCTTCTTGGTTTGGATCCATTGCTGGTGAGTTAGTGTGCTCTTTTGGGGGTGTTAAAGAACCTTGTTTTGTTATATTACCAGAATATTTTTTCTGCTTTCTTCTCATTTGGGTAGACTATGTCAGAGGGAAATCTGGGGCCCAAGGACTGCTCTTCAGATTGTTTTGTCCCATGCATGCTCCCTTGATGTAGTGCTCTCCCCCTTCCTCCATTCCTCTCCCCATTCCTCTCAGGAGTGTTGCTTCCTGAGAGCCCAATGTAGTGATTGTTATTTCTCTCTGGATCTAGCCACTCAGTGTAGCTACCAGGCTCTGGGCTGGTACTCGGGGGCACCTGCACAGACTCATACAATGTGAACCACCTTCAGGTCTCTCAGCTGTGGATAGCAGCACCTCGTCTGGTGGAAGTGGCAGGCACATCAAATGGACTCTGTGAGGGTACTTAGTTGTAGTTTTGTTTATTGCACTAGTTTTATGTTTTTTGGACACCACCCAGGAGGTGGCACTTTCAAGAAGGCATCAGCTGAGATGCTATAGGGAGGATCATGTGGTGTGTGGGGTCCTAGAGCTCCCAGGAGGTTATATCTTTTGTCTTTGTCTACCAGGGTAGGTAGAAAAAGACCATAAGGTAGCGGCAGGGTTAGGCGTGTCTAAGCTCAGAATCTCCTTGGGTGGTTCCTTCTGCAGCTGCTTTGGGGGATGTGGGTGTGGTTCTCAGGCCAATGGAGTTATGTTCCCAGGGGATTATGGCTGCCTCTGCTGTGTCATACCGTTCACCAGGGAAGTGGGGGGAAAGCCAGAAGTTATAGGACTCACCCAGCTCTCACACAGCCCAAATGGCTGGTCTAACTCTCACCGTGTGCCCCCACAACAGCACCAAGTCTATTTCCAAGCAGCCAGGGAAATTTCCTTCTCCTTATGGTCTTTTCTCAATTTCTCCCGCAGCCCTTTCCAAGGACGTCTGTGAGACAAAGTCAGAAATAGCTTCCCTGGGGACCAAGAGAGCCCACAGGGCTCTTCCAACTGCTACTTCTACCCCTGTATTTCACTTGACTCTCTAAATTTGTCTCAGCTTCAGGTAAGGTCAAATCCTTCTCTCGTGATCTGAACCTTCAAGTTCCCCAGTGAGGGTGTGTGTTCAGGGGCAGATGATCCCCCTTTCACATTTTCACACTTTGGGCACTCAGGGTTTTTCAGTTGTCTCCCAGGGCCTGCAGGAGAAATCCACTTCCTTCAAAGGGTCTGTGGATTATCTCGGCTTTCCTGGTATGTTCCTGCAGTAGTTCTTGGAGCGAAAGTTCTTGATGGGAGTCACCACATACTGCTCTGTTCATTGGAGTGGGAACTGCAAGCTGGTCCTGCCTCCTATCCGCCATTTTCCTCACTCTTCCCAACATTTAAACTATGTTATTTTGAACGTTGAATATGGAACAGTAAGTGACTTAATTAGCATGATATAATGAAGGCTAGATATTGCTAAATCACGCGTATTTTAAGGGGAAATGTCCTATGGTAAGAAATTGACCTTTAAATTTCTTAAGATTTTTAAGATTTCATTATTTGATTAAATATCATAAAAATGACAGTAAATTCTTCAATGTTTTAAATCATTTTTACTTCATAAGACAAAACAGAAGATCTGGGTAAAGTGGTACCTACAGTTCCGCCTAGCAAAAAAATGACTTAGATATAGTTTTATGTACCTAATTTATTAAAACAACTATTTTCTTACCAGACTCAAATTGGAAAATAAAAAAGATTTTGTAAATACTACCAATTCTTACACAGATATTTGAGTAGGGTTATATTATCCACTCAATTTGGTAAGAGAGATGCTACTCAGTTATTTGGGGTACTTACGGAGTATGATTTAATAATTCTGCTAATTCTTAAATTAAAAGTTTTTTTTTTATCTTTCCCTGGAATCCAGACTAACAAAAGCAGAATTTTCCTCACCTTTTCAATAAAAGAATAATTTTCCCTGTGAGAAATACAAGAAATGAGTACAAATCATTTCCTTTTTGAAGTTACAAAAATAAGTCAAATAAGTTATGTTCTCTATAATTATACTATTGGGCTAAAATTTATATTAGTATGATATGACTAGAAAAAGTAGGCCATCGTAGCTACATGTACAGAACTTGAACCCAGTGTTAATTAAATTCTGGTTCCATAAGCTATTATTTTTGTGTGGCGTAGGCAATAGAACCACTCCAGCTGCATGTAACTAATAGTTTAATTCTTAATGGATTATAGTTGGATTGAATAAGATATTTCATGTAAAAGTGCTTAGAATAGTTTAGATGGCATTATTTTTAAGGATGCGAAGTATTGTATAATTCTTAACTTTGCAGAAATATGAAAATAAATTTAGTTAGAAAGTATCTTTAAAAAGCCTTTATAAAAGACCATAAGTGGATGTGATTTTTAGGTAATATATTTTGACTGCAAGTAATATTTTTTCAATAGATTACCACCCCTAATGTGTGAATATGTTGTCTAGGTTTAATAATATTATTATATTTAAAAATGCAATTTGATACTTGTATAAAGGACACAGTCTCATATCTATAACCTTATTTCAATGTCTTCTTTACAACATTGTATTGACATTTGAACAGAGCTGTCAATTTTTTAAACATGTGTCATATGTCATTATTATATGTACACATACATGCGTTATATATATGTGTTTAAATATATATATATTTATATTTATATATGTGTGTGTTTTTAAATACCTTTCATAATTAAACTAAGATTTTCTGAATTCAAGTGAAGTCATTTAGTAAATAATTAAATCAAAATTTCCTGAGTGCTATCATAGTAGCATTATTCTAGGTTCTGGTTTTAAAGACAAAGCCCTCGACTTCATGAAGAATCTCCTAACCTGTTTAAATAAATAAATAGCATTTTCTCATTTATTTTGGAGGCAAACATGTTCATAATTAAAGCAAAAGAGTTTTTGATAGAAACCAAATCTGAAAAGCAGAAACATGTGCCTTGAGTATCTTAAGAAATTAGTTTCATTTTATGGCTACATATCCAAGAAAGAAGTTTCCCAGAGGAAGCAAGACAGAAGTATTACAATTTTGGTTTTCACTTTTATGTAAATTTAGGATGAATAATATATTAGTGAGGTAGGCTAGCTCTATAACAGCTCGAATTTAGGTTGCAGGAAGTGATGAGGATAGAGGCTCTGTTCCATGAAATCATCTAGCAACACAAGTTTCTGTCATGACTTGTACTGTCTTCCTTTGGGTCTTTATAGTCTTCTCCATTCAGCCTGCCAGTAAAAGACAACAAAGATTGCCCAGGATTTCCTAAGTTAGCAGGTGGAAACTTCAAGTAATTTACAAAAAAAAAAAAGAATGTAAATGTGATATACTATAATTATCACTAGAATTCATGAAGAAGATCATACCAGTTATAGATATTTGACATTCCTTTTTGACAGTCTTGATATGGAGGTAAAACTAAATAATGTACAACTTTGTACAAATCATAGTATATTATATTTTATTTTTCTTATATGATTATTACCATTAATATTTATCAATATGTGCTTACCATTTATGCATCCCATGTTATGTTATACAAAAATATTTTCATATTATGTGTGAGATAGATACAGATATAAATATGGATGATATAGAAATAACTAACCTGTATATCATTCGTACAGAAGAATGTGCCGGCTGGGGGTCTGCTGCAGTTTAATATGAATCATTTTACTTCATTTATACTTTTCATACTGGTATACTGCTGTACTTTGAAATAGAGTTAACTGAATATTAGCTATTGTTTCAATAAAGAAGCATTGCTACAAACTTGTTTCTTCCATATTCCAATTTACTACTATCTTAACTAAATCATAATAAAAATAAACATGAGTTTCATGTACACATTTTGATCTTATCTCTCCAAATGTTAAAAAACTGGATGTATTAGTTGAAATACCTTACCAGCTGCATATAATTCACTAAAACTGTGTTTTCTACAGCACGCTTTTTCTGGACTGTAGTACATATGTCCCTTCAGGAAAGAAAACCCAGCGCAAGGGGATCCTGTATCAGGATTCTGGAAGGGTTTTTCAATTTCAGTTATCAACCGTAGATGTTTCTCTGCGAACTTTTGCTGTTGGAACTGAGAGTTATGACAAGTAAAAGATAACAGAATGGAGATAAATGGCTTTAGTATTATGACCAAAAAGCAATATCACATTGCACTAACAGGTTAAAAAGCCCAAAAGATTAGTACAGCAGGTTAAAGGCATAACCCTGGGACTGAGTCTGGTTTGAATTTAGAATACGGAACAAACATAAATAGAGTAATTTGAAGTCATTTTGGATTTATTTTCCCTTTGTTTTCCTCAACTGAATAGCAGTATTTATCAAATATTTTCTAAGAATTCACCCACAAGCTTAAATTGGGCTTACAAAGATAAATGTTCGAAACAGAAAAAAGTGTAACACTAGCCAATACATGATAAGTTACAAAATGACCACCATTACAATCAATGAGGCTCTGAGTGAGTGAAGTTTTTATGGAGAAAGTGAGACTTTTCTATCTGAATGAAATATTTAGTTTTTAGTACAAAATTTATATTATTTTTCATTTATTCTCGTTCTCTTTTGAGAATTAAAACTATCTATCAGCAACAGATAAAACTTTTAGCCATAAAACCAGGTTTTGTTGCAACAAAGAAAGTAGACATTTCAACTTTGTGGCTTTAGCAACCACATGTCACATCAAGAAACCTATGTTCCCTGGACGTGAACAGATTCGAGTAACCATATGCTCTCCTGAGCAGCCCTGCCAGGGAGGTCTGGTTCTGCTACCAAAATAGGATTGCCATTTAGAATAGGTTGATTCTGCTATTGTTTTTAGCCTCCTTTTTTCCCTGCTTGACACCTTTAGGAATAAGGAATTAGGTGAGATCAACATACCTTCCTTAGTCAGGTGTCTTAATTTTTGTTTGAAGGTCCTTGACCAAGAAAGACAAGGCATCTCAAGATGTTGTCATTTCTTAGACAAAAGCTTCCTTAATCTGTCAATTTTTTTTTTTTTTTTTTTTTTTTTTTTTTTTTTTTTTTTTTTGAGACGGAGTCTCGCTCTGTCGCCCAGGCTGGAGTGCAGTGGCGGGATCTCGGCTCACTGCAAGCTCCGCCTCCCGGGATCACGCCATTCTCCTGCCTCAGCCTCCCAAGTAGCTGGGACTACAGGCGCCCGCCACTACGCCCGGCTAATTTTTTGTATTTTTAGTAGAGACGGGGTTTCACCGTTTTAGCCGGGATGGTCTCGATCTCCTGACCTCGTGATCCGCCCGCCTCGGCCTCCCAAAGTGCTGGGATTACAGGCGTGAGCCACCGCGCCCGGCCTAATCTGTCAATTTTTAAGAAATTGAAAACATCTATTAAAATAATCAGCCATCGCTTAGATACTAGAATAGAACTCTTGACAAACAGAGCACATCTTTTAAAGCTATGTCTACTTTTAAAATACTTTCTCATTCTTCACTGTGAGAAGTATAATGATGTAAATGACTAGGTAGATAAGTCACAGTTTTTTGTATGGTATTTGTCAGTGGCCCCTTTAACGATCATTGTGGATTCATCCAGCCACATGGCTACAGACAATCATACTAACTTCAAATGTTTTATGCTATATTGGTCCAACTCCAGATGAAACTGTAAAATAGTTTACTTTTCACCACTATGCATCCTGCTTTTAGGCCATTCCTCTCCCCTCCATCATTCCTGAAGCTATCTATTTTCCTTTCTTTTACTCGTAATTTTGAGCAACTACTGCAAAGTAAAGCAAGAAACTAATTCCTGCCCAAGTGATACTTGTAAGACTTATGATTCTGATCCCTTTAAGTGTTTATTTATTTTCTACTTTATAGAACGTAAGTAAAATATTCTTTAAGAAGTAAGTCTGTTTCTTTCAAATTAATCTAGAAAAGCAACATTTCCAATGTCAAGTTCTAGGTGTAAGAAAATAATCTAGGGCACAATAATATTTTCATTGTTTAGAAAATCAAGGGACATATTTCAACTATTCGCAAGTCAAGCTGAGAGGTGACAGCATGCTGGCAGCTCTCGCAGCCCTCGCTTGCTCTTGGTGCCTCCTCAGCCTTGGCGCCCACTCTGGCCGCGCTTGAGGAGCCCTTCAGCCCACCACTGCACTGTGGGAGCCCCTTTCTGGGCTGGCCAAGGCCGGAGCCGGCTCCTTCAACTTGCAGGGAGGTGTAGAGGGAGAGGCGCGGGCAGGAACCGGGGCTGCCTGCAGCACTTGGGGGCCAGCCTGAGTTCTGGGTGGGCGTGGGCTCAGCAGGCCTGCACTTGGAGCAGCCGGCCGGCCCGCAAGCCCCTGGCAGTGAGGAGCTTAGCACCTGGGCCAGCAGCTGCTGTTCTTGATTTCTCGCTGGGCCTTAGCTGCCTCCCCGCAGGGCAGGGCTCCGGACCTGCAGCCCGCCATGCCTGAGCCTCCCCCAACCCCACCATGGGTCCTGCACAGCCCGAGCCTCCCCGAGGAGTGCCGCTCCCTGCTCCAGGGCGCCCAGTCCCATCGATCACCCAAGGGCTGAGGGGTGCAGGCGCACTGCGCGGGACTGGCAGGCAACTCCACCTGCAGCCCCAGTGCCAGATCCACTGGGTAAAGCCAGCTGGGCTCCTGAGTCTGGTGGGGACTTGGAGAACCTTTATGTCTAGCTAAGGGATTGTAAATACACCAATCAGCACCCTGTCAAAATGGACCAATCAGCTCTCTGTAAAACAGAACAATCGGCTCTCTGTAAAATGGATCAATCAGCAGGATGTGGGTGGGGCCAGATAAGAGAATAAAAGCAGGCTGCCCAAGCCAGCAGTGGCAACCTGCTCAGGTCCCCTTCCACACTGTGGAAGGTTTGTTCTTTCACTCTTTGCAATAAATCTTGCTGCTGCTCACTCTTTGGGTCCACACTGCCTTTATGAGCTGTAACACTCAACCTGAAGGTCTGCAGCTTCACTCCAGAAGCCAGTGAGACCACGAACCCACCAGAAGGAAGAAACTCCAAACACATCTGAACATCAGAAGGAACAAACTCCGGACATGCCGCCTTTAAGAACTGTGATACGAGGGTCCGTGGCTTCATTCTTGAAGTCAGTGAGACCAAGAACCCACCAATTCCAGACACAAAGCCCTATGAAATTTCTCTTTATATCTCAAAATAAGATATTTACAGTTTAAAATAAGTGCTTAAAATCAGGATATAATATCTGTAAATAATAATCATCAAAGCAAATAGGTATCTTTGCAGAGAAATTGCTTTCCTGGCATGTGCCAGGGATTTATATTCTGTAGGATAGATTTCACACACTTTGGGTTGAGAAGACATTAGCGAGACTTCCAGACTGAGAAAAGATGATTAGGGGCATGAGCTAGTGCTAGAAGAGATTGATGCCAGGAAAGTGGAAACTGTTAGTGAAGTCTAGGAAGTCACGTTGTTTTCAGAGCATTCTGGAAGTGGTAGCAGAGTTTCAAAGAATTTAAAAGAAACTTAAAAGAGAGTCATTAGTGAAAATCAAAGGCTCTACCCCTTTCTCGGAATAGTTTGAATGCCAATCAGGAGCTTAGGTCTGAGGGAACATAAGTGTAACTAACTGAAGAAACAGGCTGAGGTTTATTCATGAGAAGTAAGAACTGAATATTAAGAATTTGGACAGAATCAATATGATCATGGTATAGTAAGAGGCACCAGACTCACCCTTATGTTTCAAACAACAATATTGTATGCAGTATTGCATACAACAAATTGTATGCAACTGTGGTTTTCAAATATCTAACAATACACAGGAAAAAGACTCTTGAGGGAAGGAAAACAAGCAAAGAAAGCTCATGACTGCCCTGACCTAGAATGCAAAGTTAAGGTTCAATATTTGAAAATGAACCAGTGTAATTTGAAATATTAAGAAAACAAAAAAGGGAAAACATGATTAATAGATACAGAAAAAGCATTTGGTGAAACTCCGCATTTATTCATTATAAGAACAATTTGAAAACAAGAAATAAAGGGAACTTTCTCAATGTGATAAAGGCCATCAATTAACAACCTATGACCAATATTGTATTTAATTTTAAAAGGCTGGATTTCTTACTCCTAAGATCAGAAACAAGAAATAAAATCCATATTCAAAATTACATTCAAAATTTTCGGCCGGACGTGGTGGCTCACGCCTGTAATCCCAGCACTTTCGGAAGCCCAGGGCAGATCACGAGGTCAGGAGATTGAGACCATCCTGGCTAACACTGTGAAACCCCGTCTCTACTAAAAATACGAAAATAAAAAATTAGCAGGGCGCGGCGGTGGGCACCTGTAGTCCCAGCTACTCAGGAGGCTGAGGCAGGAGAATGGCTTGAACCTGGGAGGCAGAGCTTGCAATGTGCTGAGATTGTGCCACTGCACGCCAGCCTGGGTGACAGAGTGAGACTCCATCTCAAGAAACAAAAAAATAGTAAAAAAAAAAAAAAATTATGGACGTCCTAACTTGTGAAACAAGGCATGAAGAAATAAAATGCATAATACATACAACACTCTGCCTTTACTTATAAAGAGCAAGTGTCCCTTGGGGAAAAAATAATAAATCTCAAAAATGTTACTAGAAGTATAATAACATAGGAATTTAGTTAAATATGAGGTCAATGTACAAAAGTAAACTGTCTTTAATTTTGGGAAAAAACATTGGAAGATTTATAATAACTTATTTCAAGACTATATAAAGGTACAATACTCAGTGAGTTGTATTTGTATAAAAAGAGACATGTAAAATAATGGAAAGAAATCAAGTTTCCAGAAATACATCCAGGATATCTGGTCAAATGATTTTCCACAAAGGTGACAATACAAAAATATAAAGAAGTAGAAAAAAAATAAATATACAACTTAAATAAAAAGAACCTCAGTGTTTAACTCATAATTTTATGCTAATTAACCTATTATCTATCATAGACTTAAATGTAAGCACTAAAGCTGTTGAATCTGTAAAAGAAAATAGAGAACTAATCTTAGTAACCTTAGGTGTCTGTGATATAAAAACACAATACATAAAAGGAAAATTGTATAAATTGTATAAATTGCCCTTGATCAAAATTAAGAACGTTTGCTTTTAAAATCACAGGTTTAATAAAAGTTGACAGAGACACAACAAAAAAGAAAATTTCAGGCCAATATCCCTGACAGAAATAGAGAAAATTTTTTTTTTATTATACTTTAAGTTCTGGGATACATATGTAGAACGTGCAGGTTTTTTACATAGGTATACACGTGCCATGGTGGTTTGCTGCACACATCAACCCATCATCTACATTACATATTTCTTCTAATGCTATGCCTCCCCTAGCCCCCCATCCCCAGACAGGCCCTGGTGTGTGATGTTCCCATGCCTGTGTCCATGTGTTCTTATTGTTGAACTCCCCTTATGAGTGAGAACATGCGGTGTTTTGTTTTCTGTTCCTGTGTGAGTTTGCTGAGAATGATGATTTCCAGCTTCATCCATGTCCCTGAAAAGGACATAAACTCATCATTTTTTGTGGCTGCATTGTATTCCATGGTGAATATATACCACATTTTCTTTATCCAGTATACCATTGATGAACATTTGGGTTGGTTCCAAGTCTTTGCTGTTGTGAAGAGTGCCTCAATTAATGTACATGTGCATGTATCTTTATAGTAGAATGATTTATAATCCTTTGGGTATATACCTAGTAATGGGATTGCTGGGTCAAATGGTATTTCTGTTCTAGATCTTTGAGGAATCGCCACACTGTCTTCCACAATGGTTCAACTAATTTACACTCCCACGAACAGTATAAAAGCATTCTGATTTTTCCACATCCTCTCCAGGGTCTGTTGTTTCCTGACTTTTTAATGATCATCATTCTAACTGGAGTGAGAGGGTATCTCATCGTGGTTTTGATTTGTATTTCTCTAATGACCAGTGATGATGAGTTTTTTTTCATGTTTCTTTGCCACATAAATGTCCTCTTTGAGAAGTGTCTGTTCATATCCTTTGCCCACTATTTGATGTGGTTGGTTGTTTTTTTTCTTGTAAATTTGTTTAAGTTCCTTGTAGATTCTGGATATTGCCCCTTTGTCCGATGGATAGATTTCAAAAATTTTCTCCCATTCTATACATTGCCTATTCACTCTGATGTTAGTTTATTTTGCTGTGCAGAAGCTCTTTAGTTTAATTAAATCCCATTTGTCAATTTTGGCTTTTGTTGCCATTACTTTTGGTGTTTTAGTCATGAAGTTGTTGCCCATGCCTATGTCCTGAATGGTATTGCCTAGATTTTCCTCCAGGGTTTTTATGGTTTCAGGTCTTACGTTGAAGTCTTTAATCCATCTTGAGTTAATTTTTGTATAAGGTGTAAGGAACGGGTCCAGTTTCAATTTTCTGCATGGAATCCCTGAATAGAGGAATAACAATTCTGAAATTGAGGCAGTAATTAACAACCTACCAACCAAAAAACCCAGGACCGGACGGATTCACAGCCGAATTCTACCAGATGTACAAAGAGGAGCTGCTACCATTCCTTCTGAAGCTATTCCAAACAATAGAAAAAGAGGGACTCCTCCCTAACTCATTTTGTGAGGCCAGCATCACCCTGATACCAAAACCTGGCAGAGACACAATAAAAAAAGAAAATTTCAGGCCAATATCCCTGATGAACATTGATGCAAAAATCCTCGATAAAATACTGGCAAACAAATCCAGCAGCACATCAAAAAGCTTATCCACCACAATCAAGTTGGCTTCATCTCTGTGATGCAAGGCTGGTTCAACGTATGCAAACAAATAAACATAATCCATCACATAAACAGAACCAATGACAAAAGCCACATAATTATCTCAATAGATGCAGAAAAGGCCTTCGATAAAATTCAACATGCTTTCATGCTAAAAACTCTCAATAAACTAGGTATTGATGGAAGGTATCCCGAAATAATAAGAACTATTTATGACAAACCCACAGCCAATATCATAATGAATGTGCAAAACTGGAAGCATTCCCTTTGAAAACCGGCACAAGGGATGCCCTCTCTCACCACTCCTATTCAACATAGTATTAGAAGTTCTGGCCAGGGCAATCAGGCAAGAGAAAGAAATAAAGGGTATTCAAATAAGAAGAGAGGCAGTCAAATTTTTGTCTCTGTTTGCAGATGACATCATTGTATATTTGAAAACCCCATTGTCTCAGCCTAAAATCTCCTTATGCTTGTAAGCAACTTCAGCAAAGTCTCAGGATACAAAATCAATGTGCAAGAATCACAAGCATTCTTATACACCAATAATAGACAAACAGAGAGCCAAATCATGAGTGAACTCCCATTCACAATTGCTACAAAGAGAATAAAATAGATAGGAATACAACTTACAAGGGATGTGAAGCACCTATTCAAGGAGAACTACAAACTGCTCAAGGAAATGAGAGAGGACACAAACAAATGGAAAAACATTCCATGCTCATGGATAGGAAGAATCAACATCGTGAAAATGGCCATACTGCCCAAAGTAAGTTATAGATTTAATGCTATCTCCATCAAGCTACCATTGACTTTCTTCACAGAATTAGAAAAAAACTACTTTAAATTTCATATGGAACCAAAAAAGAGCCTGTATAGCCAAGACAATCCTAAGCAAAAAGAACAAAGCTGGAGGCATCATGCTACCTGACTTCAAACTATGCTACAAGGCTACAGTAACCAAAACAGCATGGTATTGGTGCCAAAACAGTCATATAGACCAATGGAACATCATACTGGCGTCAGAAATTACGCCACATATCTATAACCATCTGATGTTTGACAAACCTGACAAAAACAAGCAATGGGGAAAGGATTCCCTAGTTAATAAATGGTGTTGAGAAAATATCATAAACATATATCTGATAGAGGACTTACATCCAGAATATACAAAGAAGGCTTGCAACTCAATTATAAGGCAAATAACCTTATTTTACAATTGACAAGAGATTTGAAAAAAAAAAAGTTTTCAAAGAGGCTAAATATCATTTGTCATTAGGAAAATACAAATGAAGACCACAATGAGAAACCACTACCTACCCACTAAAATGGTGTAAAGTTTTATCATACCAAGTATCAACAGTTATATAAAGAAACTGGAACTCTCATGCAGGGAGTGTAACATGTTACAACCACTTTGAAAAACAGTTTAACAGTTTCTTTAAAAGTTACCATATCAGGAAAAATTGTAACTTTATAGTGGGAAACTCGGATAGACACTACCCCAGCCATGTAATCAAGCCTTACGTCATCAGTCGGTGATAAGTTACATTTATAGTATATAGCCTTGGTATGATGTGATGAGAATTGCACTTTAGTTCTGCAATCTTCCTGAGAACATGGCTCCAACCTAATTATGAATAAAACACCAGACAAACCCAAATTTAAGGACATTCTACAAAAAAAAAAAAACCTAAACAGTACACCTCAAAACTATCCAGATCATCAAAAATAAGAAAAGTCTGAGAAATGGTCACAGTCTACAGGAGCTTAAAGTGACATGATAACTATATGTAAAGTAATATCCTGGATGGGATTCTGGAACAGAATAATGATACTAGGCAAAAGGTTTAAAAATATGAAAAGAAATATTTACTTTAGTGAATAACAACATATCAACATTTGTTCCTTCGTGGCATATGAATCATAATAATATAAGATGTGAACAATAGGGGTTCTTGAGTACAGAGTATTCAGGAACACTCCCTCCTATCTTTTTAACTTTTCTGTAAATCTAAAAACATTCTAAAATTAAAACTTTATTAAAAATAAAAGTTAGCAAATGAGCCATTTATTTAATTCCAAATATCTACAAAGAGAAAGCATATATCTACAGAAAACATTGTATGTAAATGTTCATAGCATCTTTATTTCGAATAGTCAAAACCTAAAAACAAACCAAATATCCATCAAAAGGTGAATTATAAAAAGTATTGTGTTATGCCTTTACAATGGACTACTACTCAGTAATGTAAAGGAATGAAACATCCATGTATGCCACAAGATAGACAAAACTTGAAATAAGTACACTGTGTGAAAGAAACCAGACTCTTTACCCCTTGATTTAGTTCATTTTGTGCTATAATTACAAACTACCTGAGACTGTGTAATTTATAAAGAACAGAAATTTATTTCTCATAGTTCTGAAGGCTGGGTAGCCCAAGATCAAGGTGGTAGCATCTCATGAGAGCCCTCTTGCTGCTTCCTCACATAGCAGAAGGTAGAAGGGCAATCACACTGAATGCTACTATAAAGCCTTTTTTATAAGGAACACAATCTCTTTCGTGAGGGAGGAGCCCTGATGGCCAAATTACCTTTTAAATGCTACACATCTTAATATTATCACATCGACAACAATTGAATTTCAGAGGGGACACATTCAAACCATAGCTACTCTCAAAAAAGAAATGCATATTCAATAATTCCATTATTAACATTCTAGAAATTTGAGGTAATCTATAATGACCTAAAGCAAATTATTATTTAGGTTGGATGAGGAATGAAGGATATATTACTCAGGGGTGCAATGAAGTTTTCAGGGTGATGCAAATGCTTTTTCCATTTATGGTAGTAATGATTTGATGGGTATCAAGGTCATATAATGCTTCTCCATTTCACTTAGAGTAAAAATAATTATCTTTACAATGACCTACCTGGTGGATTAATCTAAATCTCTCACTACTTATCTGATCTCCTCTCCCACTATTCTCTCCTTCACTCATTATATCCCAGCTACACTGGCCTTCTAGCTCACCTCAAAAACCTCATATTTTTTGCTCTAATTATCTGCTCTATCTGGACTACTCTTCCTCCAGATAGATTTTCCAAGTCTTTGTTCAAATCTTATATTCTCAATGAAATCTGCCCAGATTATTTAATAAAACAAACACCCACAAAGCTACCATGCCCAATATCTCTTGCCCTACTCTAATTTTTCTTTTCTATAACATTTTTAATCGTTTTATAAACTTTCTCATTTTATTTATTATACTTATTGTTCGTTGTCTTGCTGATGCTGGAATGTAAGCTCCTTAGGCATAGGAATTTTGTCTTTTTTTCCCCCAAGTATACAGAACAGTGCCTGCCTCAAAATAGGTAATCAATAAATACTTAATTGAATGACTAACTTAATAAATAAATAAATTAGCATTAAAATAACACCCAGTTTTGTTTTTTAAAAATACTATGTACTATATTCTCACTTCAGTTAAGTAACATGATAAATAGAGGATATCAGAATGTTTTCTTCACCATGAACTTATAAGAAATTAAGTTTGCTATTGGTATGGCCAATTTTAATGTAAACTACACTATTTGATTACCCAACACAATGCCATTCATAGGGATGCCACCTCAAATTGTGTAAGAAAAGGAAAAAAAAAATCACCACCATGCTGTTCTATCATTTGTAGACTAATTGTCTTTGAACTTTTCCAAAATTTGTCAGATTGGCAAAATGGGTGATTCTTTTAAGTCAAGGACTGAAGTAAGAAATTGCTAAGTACTAGTTTGAACATCTGAAATAACCAATATAACTTCAAAACTGTTTTCATTACCTGAAAGAAGTAGCATAAAATAAGAAAACCCACTGACCTCTTAAACAATTATATGACCATTTTATCAATACAAATACAATACTAAAATCTAAATTCCCTCAGTGAGAACTATAGAAATTAAATAAAAAGTGTGTTTTCATGACAGTGAGAAGTTGTTCTCAGTGCTTTCACAAGTACATTTAGAAGAAAGAATGACAGCAGAACACAGTACAATTCACTCTAAAATTCTACACTAATTCAATATATAATTATTACAAATGTTTAAATATTCCACTTTTGAACTAACAGACATAATTAAAAGTTATGAGACTGAATGTCATACTGTTCTCTACTGTCATTTCATATTTTATGTTTTTATATGCAATTTTTAAAACTGCTTTAAAAGTCATAGAACTATGAAGGCATTATAATCACTTCATAATTTAGGTTGCTATCACTGGAGACTCTAGGGTGCAAATGTTTCTTTCAAGGTTTTATGCCATAAATATAAATTGTATCTGTACTTCTTTCTGACCTGCGTAGTACTTACATGAAGCTGTACATACATTCGACATTCAATAAATATTTATTAAATAATGAATGAATAATGTTAGTTACCTTGACATGTACCTGAATTTCTTAACCTCAATGACACCTCACATGAATTTTTGAAGAAGTGAGATTTTTCAAATAGCTGCCCCTAAGGGCTTATTGCTTTACAACTGTTCTACCTCAGCTCTTATTCCCATCAGCACACTGATTAACCCCATTAACACTTCAACCATCCTTTTGCCCAGGTTGTATTTCTCTTTTATCAAACATATAAAGGCAATTACAGTAAATGGCTCCATCCATTTATATCAATGATTTTACACACTCTTCAGCCCATATTGAATAAAATACCATCTCAATATTTAAGCTTTCAATAAATTTTAGAACAAATAGGCTTACTGTAACTTAAAAGTAGGAGCAAAATCTCCTGACATTTAATCATATGGTCTTCAATTCAAGGTATTTTTCCTAAGAATATGAGTTGTAAAAATGATAAACATTGCTTAGTGTACTAGATTGAATATTATCTACCAAAAATTTTATGTCCTTCCTGGAATCTCAGAATGCTACCTTATTTGAAGATAGGTTCATTGCAGATATAATTAATTAACTTACATGAAGTCATACTGAAATAAGGTAGGCCCTTAATCCATTACGACTGCTATCCTTCTAAAAAAGGAAAAAGAGACACACAAGCAAGACAACCAAGTGAAGACAGAGTTTGGAATGATACAGCTACAAGCCAAGGAAAGGCTATGATTGCCTGCAACCACCAGAAGCTAGGAGAAAGGGGAAAAAGACTTCTCCCCTAAAGCCTTCAGAAAGAGCATGGCCCTGTCAACATCTACATTTTGAACTTCTAGTCTCCAGAACCATAAGAGAATCAATTACTGTTGTTTTAAGCCAATTTGTGTGATACTGTGTTAGGACAGCCACAGGAAACAAATACACTTTGAATTTTTCAGGATTCTGGTGCTAATAATCATTCATTAATGAGTGAATTTACCTATGATTGTTAAATCAATGAAAAATTGATGTATTAAAATATTTATGGACTTTCCTGAACGCTTGATCTAATATACTCCCTTTGTAAAGCTTGTATAAAGTCTCAAGCAATTCTGTCCACAGAAACATTTTCATTTTGTTTATGATCTCGAACTACTATCCTTCTTGTGCAATAGAACTTAAGTCTTTAGGTATTAAGAAAAGCTTAAACTGGAAATTTATAATGTATTAGATACACTCTTTTGTATTTTCATACAGTTTTTTTATTTGTCACTTACCTTTGCCTTAAGTGTGCTTTTCTTTTCCTCTGGCAGCATAAAATACATATCACAGATTGATGTTTATATCTAATAAAAAATCACATTTCCCGTATTACAATTATCTCTACATTGCTTATATGAATATAAGTGTCAGAGTTTTAAAAACCAGTTACTTGATGTAAACAAATATATAAACAACAGGAATATGTTTAACTATTTCCAGTTCCCTATAACTTTAAAATATAAATGTTTACTGTACTGTTGAAGACATATTTTTTACTTATACACATATTGTTTCGTTAGGTGTAATAAATATGCCTTAGCAAGTTGTGGTCAGTATTTGAGTAGCCATAAGAAGTGTGAACATGTCCTTTTAAATATGTAATCAGTAGTGGATGATTTAGGAGATAAAGTCCATGAGTTAAAAAAAACTTAGCAATTGAAGAAGAGGTGATCCTGGTCCTTAAAGGATAACATGTAAAGTGCTTTGTAAAATGTGCAATAAAATTTATCTCAATTAAATAGTTCCCCTTTTGCTTTAAATAATCCCTGGATTAACTCGTCTTGAATAATCATCATGTTTGTTTAGATAAGATACAACTTTACAGTTTATACTTTGTCAACAATAAAAATATACCAAGCCATTATTATAAAGTGAAAAATTCCAGATAACATTTTTACAACTTTGAGAGAATTATACTCATATAAGTTTGATTTCCAAAAAAGTTTTAATAGAACATTTATGTATATGTTTACTTCAATACCATAGAAATTAAGACTTAATTATTACATGGTTAGATTCACCTTGCATTGTGGTCTCACTGTTACAAACTTTTTATGTTTCACAAACTGAAAGAGAATTGACTATTTTTTAAGAGGTTGATATTCCTCCAAGGGAAAAGTAGTGTCTAGAACAAGCCGATTTTTATACATTAGGCTCTAGTCATTAATCTCCTACAAAGCCGACTTTTAACAGTTCTCATTAGATTTCTTCTCCACCCCATGGACATGATGACTTGCAAAGGTCAAATTGAATCACAAGCCCTGGCCCACAGAGTTTCATCAGATTCTGCTTCTTTACTGTCATAACAGTATATTTCCCAACTAATTAGGTCTCTGCTGTGCTTCCTATTTTTAATTCATGAGTGATACTCAGCTTTGCTTTGGAAAGTTATACCTCTTTTCCGTGATCAATGCCTCCCCCTCTCTCTATAGGTACAGTTATATTACCTCTAGTGGCTGATCTGGGCCCCTCCCTGCTTCTCTGACCTCCTAATGTCAACTCTATGACGAGATATTCACATGCTCTCATCATATACTTTAAATATCAGTGTGTACCTGTCAGTCTAAACTTCCCTGCCATTGGACTAATGATGTCCCCACCCAAGGCATACTTATCAGAGCATGTCCAGTGCAACCTCATTGCAAGATCCCAAGTTTCTGATATAGTAATACTTGTAATGGCAAAAACTGCAATACTTTTGCACCAACCTCATATATCTACTATGTCAAAAACTTAGTGAAACAACAACTTCTTGATAATATAGCGTTTCTAGAAATGCCTGTTATAGGTATTAACAATATCCAAACCAACAATATGTCAAAAATTACTACTCTCTGTTAGCTACCTGAAATAGTTGTCTTGAGAGTGAGACTACTAAGTGGATTAAGGACTCTATCAAGTTGTTAAGCTTCTTAATTCTGCATGGAAAATAAGAAATTGAGAATTATATAAAGTTTTTAAACAGATGAGTGATGTGCCAGAATTTACGATTAAGAAAGTTTCTATGGATGTAGTGAAAATGGTGAAATAGAATAGAAGTTATTGCATGGGAACCTAGACAATCTAGATTCTGGGCAAACCTTAATTCCTAAGGCTGTGAACAAGATCAACGCAGACTGTTTAACAGAGAATCTTGGGTAAAAGAATGCCTATCACTCTGGATTCCAGATATGAGGGAAGAATTTAATTTTGAACTTCCTGAATGTGTTTGGGAAGTTAATAGTTTCTGCAGGGGTCTGTCCTACATACCCTGACCCAACGACAGATGAATAACATACACTGACATACAGATACTCTGCTTTGCCAGTCCGGCTGAGCGTCCGGGCCATTTACAGACTCCAAGCAGAGTGCTGTAAACAGTTGTGACTGTGGTCCCCACCAGCCAGTGAGACTTGCATTTATTCAGTAAAGATTAATTGACAAAGGCTTGAGTCAACACCACTAGAGGGTAATTGACACTGCGAACTTCCTGAGTAGAAAGCAATTAAGTGGCCGGGCACAGTGGCTCACGCCTGTATTCCCAGTAATTTGGGAGGCCAAGGCGGGCGGATGACAAGGTCAGGAGTTCGAGACCATCGTGCCTAACACGGTGAAACCCCATCTCTACTAAAAATACAAAAAAATTAGCCAGGCATGGTGGCAGGCACCTGTAGTCCCAGCTACTCGGAGGCTGAGGCAGGATAATGAAGTGAATCCAGGAGGCGGAGCTTCCAGTGAGCCGAGAGTGCACCACTGCACTCCAGCGTGGGCGACAGCGTGAGACTCCACCTCAAAAAAAAAAAAAAGCACCCACGGTAGAACAAAGGTTGTAGTTAGATAAACTCCCCACATTCCTTTGTTTTTACTCTAATTTATTTAACTAAAGGGGCAAGGCTGCCTTCAGCCAAGTACAGTATGTAACAAAATGCCAGGCCTTCCAAAAGAGTTTGTGTATATTCTCTATAACTAAAATTTTTCCCACCAGCCTTACTGAACTCCCACAAGTTTCCTTGCCTGGATTAAAATGAATTTACAAGGAGGAATGTGGCAGAATCTGAAATGGGATTAGTCACTGGGTTCAGTTCTAAGAAGAGAGAGCTGATAAAAGCAAAGGAAACCAGGCAGAGGTGGACAAACTTTATAATTAAATTTAGGAAAATATAAAAGGAGAAGAAGGTTTAAGGGTGAGGAGTAAGAATGGAAGTAGGTTATAAAACAATTGTTTTTGGATTATGTCGAGTTTTCAATATTGTGAACTGTCAGGTAAAGGGATAGTGGAAAATTGGTAAGGTGAATATAGAAACCTGGAGAAAATTGTGAGTTAGTTGCAATGGTATCACTAAATACAACAGAGAAGAGAATTTCAACCTGAAGAAACAGGCCTTAGCTCATGAGTTGGAAGCATTAAATAAAATGATAAATTGAAGGCTGAAAATAAGCCATTGATTTGGAATTAAGAAGTCATTGTCACGTGATCTTTATGAATGCTGTTTCAATAGTGTGATGGGGTAGATAGTAGACTGCATTGAATAATAGGAAATGAATGTAGTTTACTCATTTAAGTAGTTGGGCAATGAATAAAAAAAATAGTTTTACACCTTATTGCCAATAAAAGTTTACATGTTTTTAAAAACTTATTTATATACTTGAGAAACTCAAGTAGGTTAATGACTATATTTTTAATAAGTGAAAAAGAGAAACCACAGGTAAGAACTGTGATGGGAGAGGTTTTAAATGTAGAAACAGAGAAAATCAGGAATACACATGATACCTATGTATTATTGATGAGACTTTAAATTGGTACAACTTTTCAAAAAATAATTTATCAATATTTTTAATTTTTTAAGAATCAGAAATAATTTCTTATCCTATATAGAAATAATTTAATGTATATGGTTCTACACTAAATAAATCATATTATATAATTTCTATGACTCTTTTAAATATATAATCAGATATGTAAAATAACATATATACAAGAATGTTTGTACAATTGTATTGTAAATGCTAGTAAACTGGCACAACTTAAAAATCTCTAAATAATTACATAATGAAATAAGTATATGTGCATATGCTGCAATGTTATGGGATCAGAAAACTCTTGCTTTTGGAAAATATGTAATAATATGGAATACATTGTCAGTACATAATTATTTTTTTAAGTGGAATGATATGCTAACTGAAACAAGCCAGGAACAGAAAGGCTGCACGATCTCACTTATGTGTAGAATCAGAAAAAGTTGAATTCATAAATGTAGACAGGAATGGTGGTGACCAGAGGTTAGGGTGAGGGTGGGAGTGGTAGGGAATAATGAGATATTGGTCAAAGGGTACAAAGTTAAAGTTAGGAGGAATAATTTCTGTTGATCTATTATTGCACAGCATGGTGACTATAGTTAATAATGTATCACATACTTCAAAATTGCTAAGAGTACATTTTAAATGTTTTTACCACAAAAATTATAAATATCTGAGGTAATGTATATATTAATTAGCTTGAGTTAATAATTTTACATTGTATATAAGTATCAAAATATCATATTGTACCCCATAGATACATAAAATTATAATTTGTCAAGTAAAAGTAAAACTAAATTTTTAAAAAGAGGTTACAGATTTTTAAAAGGGTTGTTTCTGAAATTTTGTAAAATGGAAATACTTAGAGTAATGATAACCATGTAGATAATTCACAAATGAAAAAATGATTAAAAAAAGCAATCAGAATTTTTACACAAGATCAACATGAGTATGATAAGTGAATCAGATGTGCATTTTGATTTAAAAGAATTATTTTTGGTGCATCATGGATAGAACTTAGAGGAATATAAAAATACTCTTGGCCGTGTGCAGTGGCTCACGCCCGTAATCCCAGCACTTTGGGAAGCTGAGGCGGGTGGATCACGAGGTCAGGAGTTCGAAACTAGCCTGGTCAATATGGTCAAACTCCATCTCTACTAAAAATACAAAAATTAGCCGGACATGGTGTTACACACCTGTAGTCCCAGCTGTTCGGGAGGCTGAGGCATGAGAATCACTTGAACCCAGGAGGCGAAGGTTGCAGTGAGCCGAGATTGCGCCACTGCACTCCAGCCTGGGCGACAGAGCAAGACTCCATCTCAAAAAAAAAAAAAAAATACTCTTGAGGAGAACAGTTAAGAGGCTATTAAATGAATACTGGAGGTTGCTGGGATTGTTGTACTGATGGTGACAGTGTCTCTCTTGAATAACAAAAAGGACACTGAAGCTAGTAGTGTTTGCTTATTACTATGCTCTACAAGTTAATTTTTGATGTTTCTTACTTAAGCACTCAACAGGAGGCAGAAATGTTCACACATTCTGTGTGACTATATTACCTTAAGACAGGACCTCCCTATCTCTGGCTATTTCTTCTTCATCTCCTTCACTGGCTCCTTTACTACTACACCTATAAATATTGCAGTTCTTATGATCATAAATAAGTCTGCCTCTGGTTATTCCATACATTCTCTCTAGGTCAATAGAATAAAACATTTTTTACTGTGACCTACAGTAAAAAATCCATTCTATATTGTAACCTAGAAAAATACATACATGTATTTATGTATTATTGAGACAAAAGATTTGTGAAATATAATTTACCTTAATTGCATGCTTGTATTCTGTGTTATTTTGTTTTTCAAAAGGGAATTTTTGGTCTCTAAAAATTTATTCATGACCTGCAAAGAACTCTTTGCTCATTATAAGAAATCAGAATTTTAGGTCTTTTTACCCATTTTAATGTCTTCAGTTTTACCTATAAGCTGATTAAACACAAATTTGAATCCCTTGTAAAAAATCTCTCCTGAAAATGCAAGCTCATAAATTCTAGTATTTCATAACTCCTCTAGAAGGAATTACATACCCTTCATATTCAAAGTGACTGAAATTGAGCCTATGATATTTTCCTCCAAATCTGTTTCAATACCAGAAATCCCTGTCTCTGCAAGTCACTGGCGTCTACACACTGTGCAAGTCAAGCCCTGGGGGTTCATTCTTGTGGCATCTTTCTCACGCTTCTTTATATTCAGCCAATTGCCAGGTCATGTCCATTCCATTTATTTAATATTCCTTGAAGGCACAGTCTTGACTTGATCTTCATTAATGATTATTTTGTCCCACATAAAAGTTTCTCTGGATTGCTGCTATAAATGATGTTCTTGCTTTTTAGCCTAGACCTCAGAAATATGTTTACCATACTACATTCAGATAGATTTTTTTAAAATCAAACATTTATAGTGCTGTATCTTTATTTAAAAGTTTTTAAATAGTTCCATGAGTCAGTAGCAGAAGTTCTTTTCCACAGGGCTAATACCCTTTATGATCATATGCAGATTTGCCTCTCTTAACCAAAATATCAGCACTTAACTCTTTGATCTTGGATACTTTTTCCATATATACAGATATTGCAACTTTGAATAACTCAGACTTGAAATGCTATTCCTTTTATATCCTCAAATGCTCATCATTCAGGTTTAGGGTAAACATAACTCCCTCAAGAAAACTTAATCATGCCCTTTAAACTACGTAAGATGGTTTCATAAGTCCATCTTGAACTTAATTCTAACACAGAACTGAGTATACCAAATTTTAGTTACTCATTTACTTAACTGTTTCTTCATTCAAATATATGTTTGTTGATGAAAAGGACATGTTCTTGTTCATCAGTGAAATTTCAGGATATGACAATGAATGACTGCCATAAGGGAAAAAAATTGTTAAAGGCTGGATGATAGTATGAGTTATCAAAAATATTTCAGGTGGTTAATAGACCACCAAGGAAATTTAACCCAAATAAAATTACCTTGCGACATTTAATAATTAAAATGCCAGTGGTCAAGGATAAAGAAAGGATCCTAAAAGCAGCAAAAGAAAAGAAACAAATACTACACAATAGAACTCCACTATGTCTGGCAGCAGACTTTTCAATGGAAACCTTACAGGCCAGGAAAGAGTGACATAAAATACTTAAAGTGAAGGGGAAAAAAAATCTTTTACCCTAGAATAGTATATCCAGTGAAATTATCTTTAAAACATGATGGGGAAATAAAGATTTTCTCAGACAAACAAAAGCTGATGGATTTCATTAACACCAGGCCTGTCCTACAAGAAAGGCTAAAGGGAATATTTTAATCTGAAAGAAAATGATGTTAAAGAGCAGAAAAAAAAATCTGACAGTACAAAACTCACTGGTAATAGTAAATATGCAGAAAAAAACAGAATATTATAACACTCTAATTGTGGTGTGTAAACTACTCATATCTTGTGTAGAAAAACTAAAAGATAAGTGACCAAAGATAAATAACTACAACAACTTTTCAAGTCATGAACAGTAGAGTAAGATATAAATAGGAATGACAAGAAGTTAAAAATGCAGGGACAAGAAATTAAACTGTACAGTTTTAATTAGTTTTCTCTTTGCTTGTTTTCTTATGCAATCAGTGTTAAGTTGTCATTAGTTTAAAATAAGGAATTATATTATTTGCAAGCATCATGGTAACCTCATATTAAAAAATGTAGAAAAGATATACAAAAAAGAAAAAGCAAGAAATTAAAACATGCCACCAGAGAAAATCATATTCAATAAAAAGAAGACAGGAAGGAAGGAAAAAAGGAAGAGAAGATCACAAAATAACCAGGAAACAAATAACAAAATGGCAGCAATAAGTCTACTTTTCAATAATAAAGTTGAATGTAAATGGACTAAATTCTTCAATCAAAAAACATAGAAGGGCTGAATATATAGAAAAACAAGAGTCAATGTTTTCTTGCCTAGAAGAAACACACTTCATCCATAAAGGCACACATGGATGGAAAATAAAGGGATGGAAAAAGATATACCATGCAAATAGAAACCAAGAGAGAGTCAGAGTAGCTATATTTATATCAGAAAAAGTAGATTTCAAGACAAAAAAGTATAAGAAGAGACAAATAAGTTGGTTATATAATGATAAAGTAGTAAATTCAGCAACAGGATACAACAATTATATATGCACCCAACCCTGGAGCAGCCAGATATATTAAGTAAATATTATTAAAACTGAAGAGTGAGACAGACCCCAACACAATGAAAGCTAGAGACTTCAACATTCCCCTCTCAACATTGGACAGATCATTCAGACAGAGAGTCAACAAAGAAATATCAAACTTAATCTGCACTATAGACTAAATGGGCCTAATAGATATTAAGAGAACATTTCATACAATGGCTGTAGAAAACACTTTCTTTTCCTCAGCACTTGGAAAATTCTCAAGGATAGACCATGTATTAGGCCACCAAAAAAGTCTTAAAAACTTCAAAACAGTTGAAATAATATCATGTATCATCTCGGATCACAATGGACTAAAACTAGAAATCAATAACAAGAGGAACTTTGAAAACTATAACCAAAACAGCATGACACTGGTACCAAAACAGATATATAGACCAATGGAACAGAACAGGGGCCTCAGAAATAACACCACACATCTGAAACCATCTGATCTTTGACAAACCTGACAAAAACAAGCAATGGGGAAAGGATTTCCTATTTAATAAATGGTGTTGGGAAAACTGGCTAGCCATAAGCAGAAAACTGAAACTGGACCTCCTCCTTAACCTTATACAAAAATTAACTCAAAATGGATTAAAGACTTAAATGTAAGACCTAAAACCATAAAAATCCTGGAAGAAAATCTAGGCAATATCATTCAGGACATAGGCATGGGCAAAGACTTCACAACTAAAACACCAAAAGCAATGACAACCAAAGCCAAAATTGACAAATGGGATCTAATTAAACTAAAGAGCTTCTGCACAGCAAAAGAAACTATCATCAGGGGGAACAGGCAACCAACAGAATGGGAGAAAATTTTGCAATTTATCCACCTGATAAAGGGCTAATATCCAGAATCTACAAAGAACTTAAACAAATTTACAAGAAAAAAAACAACCTCATCAAAAAGTGGGCAAAGATATGGACAGACACTTCTCAGAAGAAGACATTTTTGCAGCCAACAAACATATGAAAAAATGACCATTATCACTGGTCATTAGAGAAATGCAAATCAAAACCACAATGAGATACCATCTCACACTGGTTAGAATGGTGATCATTAAAAAGTCAGGAAACAACAGATGCTGAAGAGGATGTGGAGAAATAGGAATGCTTTTACACTGTTGGTGGGAGTGTAAATTAGGTCAACCATTGTGGAAGACAGTGTGGCGATCCCTCAAGAATCCAGAAATAGAAATACCATTTGACCCAGCAATCCCATTACTAAGTATATATACCCAAAGGACTTATAAATCATTCTGTTATAAAGACACGTGCACACATATGTTTATTGTGGCACTATTCACAATAGCAAAGACTTGGAACCAACCCAAATGTCCATCAATGATAGACTGGATAAAGTAAATGTGGCACATACACACTATGGAATACTATGCAGCCATAAAAAATGATGAGTTCATGTCCTTTGCAGGGACATGGGTGAAGCTGGAAACCATCATTCTCAGCAAACAATCACAGGAACAGAAAAGCAAACACCACATGTTCTCACTCATGGGTGGGAGTTGAACAATGAGAGCACATGGATGCAGGGAGGGGACTGTCACACACCGGGGCCTGTCGGGGGGTGGGGGTTAGGGGAAAGATAGCATTGGGAGAAATACCTAATATAGGTGGCAGGTTGATGGGTGCAGCAAACCACCATAGCACGTGTATACCTATGTAACAAAACAGCACGTTCTGCACATGCACCCCAGAACTTAAACTATAATTTTTAAAAAATTAAAAAAATAAAAAAGAAATAATAAATTTAAAAAATTAAAACCATATAAACACGAGGAAATTAAATAACATGCTCCCGAAAGACCAGTATGTCAAAGAAGAAATTATAAAGCAAATTTAAAAGTTTCTTGAAACAAATAATAATGAAAATACAACATATCAAAACCTATGGGGTACATTGAGAGCAGTACTAAGAGGAAAGTTTATAAGTACCTATGTCTAAAAAGGAGAAAACCTCAAATAAACAACCTGATGATGCATCTTAAAGAATTAGAAAATCAAGAGCAAAACAAACCCCACGGTAGTAAAATAAAGATCACAGCAGAAATAAATGAAATTAAAATGAAGACAACACCACAAATGAAACAAAAAGTTGCTTTACTTAAAAGATAAAAAAAGATAAACTTTTAGCCAAAATAACTAAGAAAAATATAGAGAAGACCCAAATAAAATCAGAGATGAAAGCGAAAACACTAAAACCAATGAACAAATAGATCCCACTAAACTGGAAAACCTAGAAGAAACGGATAAATCCATGAATACATACAACCTACGAAGATTGAACAATGACAAAAGCCAAAACCTGAATAGATCAATAACAAGTAATGAGATCGAAGCCATAATAAAAGTCTCCCAGCAAAGAAAAGACCAGGACCTGATTATTTCACTGCTGAATTTTATCACACATTTAAAGAAGTAATGCCAATCCTACTCAAACTATTCTGAAAGACAGAGAAGGAGGGAATAATTCCAAACTCACTCTAAAAGGCCAGCATTACACTGATACCAAAACCAGACAAAGACGCACTAAAAAAAATAAAACTACAGGCCAACATCTGTGATGAACATTGATGCCAAAATCTTCAATGAAATACTAGCAAACTGAATTCAACAACACATTAAAAAGAAAATTCATCATAATCCTGTGGCATTTATCCCAGGGAGGCAAGGTTTGTTCAAAATGCATAAATCAATCAATGTGATATATCATATAAACAGAATGAAGGGCAAAAATGTGATCATTTTAATTAATGCTGAAAAAGCATTTTATAAAATTCAACATCCCTTCATGATAAAAATCCTTAAAAAACTAGGTATAGAAAGAACATGCATCAACATAATAAAAGCCATATACAATAGACCCACAGCTAGTTTCATACTGAAAGGGGAAAAACTGAAAGCCTTCTTCTAAGATTTGGAACATGACAAGGATGCCCACTTTTACCACTATGACTCAACGTAGTACTAGAAGTCTTAGCTAGAGCAGTAAGACAAGAGAAAGAAATAAAGGACATCCAAACTGGATTTTTAAAAAGTCGAATTATTCTTGTTTGCAGATAATATAATCTTATATTTGGAAAAATCTAAAGACTCCATAAAAAATTTCTAAAACTGATAAATTCAGTAGCGTTGCAGGATACAATGGCAATATGCAAAAATCAGTAGCATTTCTGTATGTCAACAGCAAACAATCTGAAAAAGAAATCAGAAAAGTAATCCCATTTACAAGAGCCACAAATAAAATTAAATACTTCAGAATTACCGTAATCAAATAAGTGAAAGATTGCTACTATGAAAACTATGAAACATTGATAAAAGAAATCGAAGATGACACAAATGGAAGATATTCCATGTTGATTGATTGGATTAATCAATATTGATAAAGTGTACATACTACCCCAAGCTATTTACAGATTCAGTGCAATCCCTGTCAAAATGCCAATGACATTCTTCACAGAAATAGAAATATAATTCTAAAATTTATGTTGAGCCACAAAGGACCCAGAATAGCCAAAGCTGTCCTGAGCAAAAAACAAAACTAGAGGAATCACATTACCTGACTTTAAATTATACTACAGAGCTACAGTAGCCAAAACAACATGATGCTGTCATAAAAACAGACACATAGACAAATGGAGCAGAATAAAGAACCTAGAAATAAACGCATATATCTACTGTGAACTAATTTTCAAAAACATTTGCCAAGAACATACACTAGGGAAAGGACAATCTCTTCAATAAATAATGCTGGGAAAACTGGATATCCATACACAGAAGAATTAAATTGGACCCTTAACTCTTACCAGATACAAAAATCAAATCAAAGTGGTTTAAAGACTTAAACCTAAGATATCAAACTATGAAACTACTACAAGAAATCATTTGGAAACCTCTCCAGTACATAGGACTAAGCAAAGATTTCTTGAATAATACCCCACAAGCACAGGCAACAAAAGCAAAAATGGAAAAATGGGATCACATCAAGCTAAAAATCTTCTGCACAGCAATGAAAAGGATCAACAAAGAGAAGAGACAACCCACAGAATAGGAGAACACATTTGCAAACTACCCCTCTACATTGATGGAGGGACAAATTCATCTATGATGCTTGAATGGCTGTGAGAAGTGGCAGGATTAGTGTGGGTTCAGGTACTAGAAATGTGGAGAACTATCAGAGATAGCTTCCAGGGTTGTACTGAATAATCAAGTAGGCATAGGAGGCAAGCAGAGTGCTGTATTTCTTGTTATCTCAGAATAAAAAGTTGGTATTAAACGTAAAGTGTGAGAGTGTCTTGGATACACTTTACTTGTCAACTGTGATGTTTTATATGTTTATTTTGGTCAAAGAAGTACAAATTACATTTTATTATATAGTAAAAAGAAATGTTTTTTGTTTTGTTTTGTTTTCACACAGATAATCAGGCAATGGGAGCAGGAAAATGTCTCTCCCTCCCTAGCCAGTAAAGCCGCTTTATACAAATGCTGCAAGGTGATGAGAATTTCTTCAGGGTGTATACACATATAGTTTATATATAGTTTAAAACTGAGAAAAATTCTGTCCATGCTAAGCCAAACATTAATGGGCATAAAAGAGTATTCACATGTTATCTGTTGGCAAACATCAATCCTACATAGAAATTTCTTACTTTCAGATGAATAAATAATTCGCAACAGCAGAGAAAAGGAAAGAATATTTCACAATATAAGAGAACAGGAGAATTTTCTTAAAGATTAACCAACAAATTGTACACTGTTAATCATTTTTTTTCTAGGAAACAGATTAAGTATTTGGAAAGTATCTACTTTACACAACTGTAAGACAAATACAAGATGTTGTGCCTGCTGTAAAACATGAGACTGAAAATAAAACTAAATGACAATGGACTGAGTAGCTTAGGGTACAGAAAAAAAAAAGATTCCAATACAGGTAGAAAAATAATAAAAAGTAACTAATATGAAAGATAAGACTTAAGTTCCCTAGTAAAAGTAGCCCTTTAAAGCCCAGGTAAATCAGTGACAAAATGAAAAAGCTTCATAAGAATCCAGGGAAAATGAAATATAAATGAAAGTAAAATAGATGAAGACTATGGAGGGCAGAGAATGGAGACCCAATTCATGATTTATAGGTAGTGCTGGGGAATAAATGAAAGAAAATAATGATCATAAGTATAGTAATAATAATAATAAAGTGTTCCTGTGGAAGAAAATCTGTTTGCAAATCTTTCTGCTCATAAAAAATACACAAAATTAAGCCATTCTCTGGTTTCTATGGAAATATATTTGATTTTTCTAAGAACGTACACTTCTAGTAAATTTTTAAAAGATGATTATGGATCTCCATTTTACAGAAAGATACTAAAAAACAGAATATAGTTTATTAGTAAGGAAAATTAAAGTGAAAGGAAAACATTACCTAATATGAATATTCACATATTATATGAATATATGAGTGCTATTTCTAAGCACTTTCTGTATAATCTAACTTAATTGTCATATGAACCCTTGTACAGAAGTAGATTACCTAATTGTGCATCTTCATACAGCCAGGAAATGGTGAAGCTAGAATTAGTATCTAAGCTAGATGGTTTCTGGAAGTGTGCACTTAACCACTGTGGCATATCAACTAAATGTAATTTTAAATGTCTAGATATTTAAAATAAAAGACAAGTAAAACAAATTATGATTTAAATAAGCAAATAAGATTAGAAGTAAAAATAAAACTGGTGTTTGTTTTTATTTTTTAATACGGACTCTTGACTAAGATTGAGCATATATTAATATATATTTATATTAAAATTACTATATGTTTTTGTTCAGGACTCTTTTACCTCTAGTAACAGAAACATAACTCAATATATGAACTCTATGGGCACATATAATTGCCAATTATAAGTTGTATGACTAGTTTCACACATAATAGGATCCAGTGGTTCAATAGATGCCCTGGGAATTTTTATGTTTCTCCAAATCTTGCCTTTGTTTTCTAGTGTTCACTTTATTTACTAGAAAGCTGTCTCTGAATAGTGACCAAGATATATACAAACCACAGCTATGGATTTAAAAGTCTTAGTCATGAGACATTCACAGAGATGAAAGAATTCTGGGTCAGGTGCAGTGGCTCATGCCTGTAATCCCAGCATTTTGGGATGCTTAGGTGTGAGGATAGTTTGAGGCCAGAAGTTTGAGACCAGCCTAAACAACACAGTAAGATGCCATCTCTACAGAAATTCAAGAAAATTAGTTGGACGTGATGGCACATGCCTATAGTCCTAGATGCTAAGAGGCTGAGGCAGAAGGATCTCTTGGGCCCATGAGATAGAGACTACAGTGAGATATTACAGGCACTGTGCTCTAGCCTGAGCTACAGAGCAAGACTGTTTCAAAGCAAAAAAAAGACTCAGATTGGCCTAATTAGGGCTACTAATCTTTTGCTGAACCAATCACTGCTGCCAGACAGGTGGGATAACAGGTGTACTCTTGTAGCAGCAAAGGTGGAGTATGCAATTAATGGCCTCCACAAGAGGAGAGAGTGTTTACAAAAGGAAGAGATGAAGGGCAAACAAAAACAGTAACAGGTGTCTACTACAACTGCTTACAAGATCATCAAAATGATATAATTTTTTAAAAGAAAAAAGATGAGCAAAATACATAATTAAAGCATAAACAAACTATTACAATATTAACATCAGGAAAATTTTTAAATTAGAAGCATTAATTTAATAAACAAAACATTTATATTGATAAAGGTTAAATGTATAATGAAAACAACATGTATAGGCCACTACAAGTTGAATCCACTACAAGTTGAATTTTCTACAAGAAAATATAGATAGAAAAATTTAGGAAAATATGAGAAATTGAGAGAAAGGCAATTAGAGTGTAAGAACGAATAACATAGCAATCATTTTATGGCAGATCAAGTAGATATATAAAAACAAGGAGGACCCTACAACATAATAAAGAAAAAAGTTGGTATATTATTTCAATTCATAACCTATTATAAAAATGTCTTCAGTTCAATTTTCCATAACACAATTTCAGAAATTAGGCTTTAACTAAAACACACAGATTTTAAAAAATCTCTAAATTTCTGAAACATAAATTATACTGGCTAGAATTAGACATTAATAATAAATATTTACATTAAAATTTCCAAATACTTTAAAAGTTTTATATCCTCCTTAACTAATTGTTGATCTAGATAAGATAAACAACAACAATAATGACAACAAAACACCTTCTAAAACCTAGTTTCTAGGATTGTATGAGATGAAAAATAGTAAAATGAATATATTAAGTTAATGAATCCCATTATTTTAAAATTAAGTGAAAGTATTGTGTATTTATGTTTAAAAGTAATGACCAATTCAATTGATAAAAAGTGTTAACTGATTGCTTTGAATTTAATAAAATCTATTTTTATCATTTAATTGCATTTTAAAAGTCCTAACTCAAGTTTCAGTTCTTCTAATACATAAAATAACCTGCTTCTTCATATTTAGCTCTTCCAAAAAGACTAATGTTTTTAGAAAATACCACTCTTACACAATGATGAAGTCAATAAAGTGCGATTGAAATGCTTCCTTCAATATGACTATATTCTAATTGGGTTGTACAGTAGCAATTAATTAACATGAAATTGATGGCAAATTTTTTATCTAGTGTTATCTCCAAATTTAACATATTTAAATGCATCTTTACTCTTAAATGCTTATGCTATTTTTCTCAGAGATATCTCTAAATTTCTAAATACAATTAATTTCCCAAATGAACTTGGCAAACCCTGTTACTACTAGAGGGCAGTAAAGTCTTGTTAGACGCTCAGGGACTGCCAGTGCAATTAGTCCCTGCAAAACCACATGGGGTACTGTATGATGCAACTTTCAGCTTTATTTTCTGCCAAGTAATAAAGTCTGAGAAATCACTTTGTTTCTAATATTTGCACTTTAAACAAAACTCATCACTTGATCCAGCTCAATCAATAAACACTAATTAGCAAGTCAACCATTGTAATTAGGTTACAAATTGGTTAAAGTATTATATTCCTTTTTAAGTATCAGATATTAACACTTTTCCTATAAAACTGCCTACTCAAATTGTTTTAGGTTTCTCTTTAAAATATTCATTGGAAAGTTAAACAATTGCTTCTCTTAAAACGTCGTTGACAAATATTTACTATAAAATCATGTTTCTGGCAAACTTTTCAACATTTAATTATTCATGGGAAAGAAATATCCAAAATAGAATTTTGGTACTCTGAGGAAAATATGTAAAAATGATGCAGTTGCTGAGCAACTCCAGAAAAAAAATAGAAGATGAAAAACTTTGTATATTGTCTGGCCATTTTTTAAAAGACGTTATTCCTGTCGTGCAGCGTATTAGATCAGCGTGCCTTGTGAACAGGATTTTAACAGGCAGGAGATGTGACTGTGTTTAAGATTCCTTTTTCTAGTCACTAGTTCATTGTCAGCAGCAGCTACAGAGCAGCTTTATGTGCATTCAGAGACCGCCAGGAAATTAGTTCTGCATGACTGAGTCAGCACTGTAGCCCAGAGAAGGAGGATCACCCATTTCCTTAAGCAATTGTTTATTCCTTGTTGTGATAACAATATTAAATATTATAATCCTGGTATAAAATAATAGGCATGCCTTGACATTTTGTTTAAAAATTGAGTCATTCCTGAGTGATCCATACTACAGTCTTTATGCCAAGTTTAAATGGAACTCAAAAGGCTTTTCTTTGCTTTTTGTTGCCTTTCAAAGTGCTTGATAGCTGTTGATAGCTTATTTAATGTCTTCAAACCTCCTTCTAAATTATATGAGACAGTGAAATAAAATGTCAGTGAAATGAATGCAAGGAAAATGAACATTTGAAACTAGCAACAGCTAAAATTAAACTGATGTTTAAAATTAAGGCAAATGTTTTTGTTTCTACGGTTTTCAAGGGGAAAAACAGCATGGCATTAAGATTTTCCTATCTGGACTAATTAGTCAGTAGGCTATATCCCAGAGTAAATTAACATTGGTTCTAAGTACTTCACTGCTACCCTATTCCCATGAACATTCGTTCCTCACACTACCAACCCCCAAATCACTCTTCATTTTTGTTTTTCTGTAAAAAAGTGATATAAAATGTTTCTGTGCTCAGTATATTGATTATTGTTTCCCGCTTAAACTCTAAATTGTTTATATAAACCATGCCCTTGCATATTCTTTAAGATTGAAAAGGATAACTTTTCCCATTACCACATACCATAATATATATGTAGCTATAAGGCAGCAAATGGCCTCTTAGATTTTTTATATGCTTCCTAATTACTTATCAAAATATATGTATGTAATATTATATACGTATATATGTATATAATATGTATATATCATATATGTATATTATATACATATATATGTATATAATATACATATAATATGTATATTATATAATATACGTATATAATGTATATTATATTATATGTATATTATATACATATATGATATTGTGTATACTATATTAAATTTGATATCATTTATATATGGTATATATTAGATATCATATATAAATTTATATATGATATATATATATATATATATGAAATCTCAAAATATCTTACACACATCCAGGCAATCATATACCTTGCCTGAACCTAAAGATGTCATTAAAGCCTAATAATTTCGGAGGGGAATTTGAAGGTGTTTTAAGCCCAGATTTCAATTTCATGATTTTCAATCTATATCATATGCCTCTTTCTAGGGTTTCAACAAAATCATTGTCACCTACCAGACCCAGAAGATTAGTATGAAAGTATAATCAAGAAAATGACTAAGAAATTAAATTGAGCAGAGATTTATTAAGCACTTACTCTGCTGCTGGAATTTTGCAAATTTGCAACGGTGAATATGGTAATATACAACACAGTTCTTGCCCTGCATCTTGTTACTTTAACAGCATGAAAGATACTAATTTGCCCATTTGACATAACTTTTTGGTTGAAAAATATGACATGTTAAGCAAAATCAATTTGCAAAATTTTGTAATAGTATGCAGGATAGAACAGAACTTGTACATAACCCTATTTTTCAAATTGATCAGATTCTATTTTTGATGGAATGATGAGCTTCCTCTCTAATTCAGGAAAATCAGGAGATATAATCTACTGAATCTGCCTAATCAAGAATACTATGAAAAAAAAAGAAAAGGAATATAGCTTACTATGAACTGTTTGCTCTGGTATCAGAAATGAATTAGTTGCAGAAATGACTGTTAATTAATATATTAGCCAAGGAAGCAGCAAATTATTCCTATTAAGGTCAATTGTTTAATTTGAGCTTGATAAATGACAAAGTAACATGAAGCTATTTTGCAGCAATTACAAACTAAGGAACTGGAAACAATTAGTACACAACAATCAAAATCAGACCAGAAAGGCAGGGTTCAGTAAAAGAATAAAGTCAAAGCCAAAAAGGTTTTGCAATTTGTTCTACTTTCTGAAATGTTAAGTCCTAATTTTTGGTTCATGTTTTAAGAGTATCTTAAGGCCACTCCCTTGAATCAATTAAAACTAAGTGAAGTTAAATTATGAAGAATGAAAGGGTGTCAGAGCTCACTTGGTGAAAATTTTAAATTTGTTAGAACGTATTAGAACTATCAGATCACAAAAGAATATGATTAAGAAGGATACATGACAGGTTGAATTACTCAAGCTTGTGATAATAGTATTAGACTGTGTGAATAAAAATTATTACCATGAATATTATTCCATATTTTGCCTAGAATATGTGCATGTGAGTATAAAACTGGAAAGTGAAAGTAGGGAGGGAATATTTCTAACCTTTTTTTACTTCAAAGACACATTTAGGGCTGTTCTACAACTTTCACTAAGGATGTATGGCACAGGATGTATTGGCAGGTGTGTCCTGCACAAGCACAATTGTGTAAAGAGGTGGTTGTGGGCTGAAATCTGCCTGCATTCTGCTCGTGAGGGTATAGGTTCCATAATGGGGCTGTATTGGGCTGGAAGGAAGGGGAATCTTTTCTATGTATATAATTAATGAAACTCTCTGATGAGTCAGTGAAGACTCTGGCCTGTACTTTGCTATAAAAAATCTACTCAGTTTATTTATGTTTTCTTGACTTTTTGTGTCATTGTGTAATAGAGATAACAGCACTTTATACTAAGATCCATGCTTACATGTGTTGCTCGTGTTTATTATTTAAAAAATGAGGCATTAATACCTAATTTTTGTGCTTTCAAAATGTGTTCAAATATTTTATTCCTTTTTCTTAAAATTATTCTTTAAAATTATTTTTTAATATCTGTTTAGCTCTAACACAATAATTGATACTTTAAAAGGACTTATATATTTTTAGCAATAAAAAGCTGGCTCTGTTTTATACTTTTAATAGATACAAAAATAAATAATTTGATTTTGCTTTCTTTTACTGTTCTTAAAGAAAGAGCTAGTCAAATTTTTAGAATGAAGATCTCAATATTAGCTACAATGTTTTCTGGATAAGAGTTACATAATTTTTAGGAAAAGAGAAGAAAAATATTAATCCATGCAATATAATTGTATGTTATAACACACCACCAGCCAGTTAGAGCATTGAATACAAGGAATTGTTCAAAACTTAAACTTCAAAAAGTCTCTGTGCCCATTAGAAGTTAAAAATCTGTCATCAAAAAAAATCTCTATAAGACAACTGTGTGACAAGACTTGCAAATATATATCTACTTTCCAAAAACATAGTCCCAGTCATAAGAGTTTGGAGCTCTGCCTATGAATGTAAAGAAACAAGGGGCATTACGTTGGAAATGTTATTGAAAGGAAGAAAAAGTAAATGGTGCAGGTTGTCCATGATAGATGTAGGTAGATGAAAGAGTTGGGATTCTTAAAGAAAGAAGGAAAAATAAAAGATGAAAAGAAAACATAAAGGAGAGAAAAGACATCTTTATCTACACAAGTAGACTAAACGAGAAAAAAGTCCACCTTATCAATTAACTCTCATTTTAATATCATTGTATTCCATCTCTAGTCACTCTCCTCTACAAAAGACCTTACAGGAAGGCTCAGCAGATGATGATGGTTTACAATTCTACCCTGATCCCTTATCATGCAGAGCTGTTAACAGGGCAACTCCTTGCTATGTATGACATCCTGATTCTCACCATAGTCAAAAGGAAGTTCAGAAAAGATTGTTCATAAAAACCATGAAAATCCATAGTGACCAAACTCACATGTGGAAAGATCTCCAGGACACGTATTGTTTGTCAGACTCGTGTATTTATACAGAAACTTTTTTTGGCCATTTTGGCCATTTGAGTTTGTTGCAAAATTGCACAATGTAACCTCCACTACATACTAACATTATAAATACTTTCCAGCTTAATTTACAGCAAGGGAAATAGATGATCTATTGAAAGAGAATACACAAATACAGCAAGTAGAAAATAAGCACGATTTTTAAGAGTTCTGGAGGGAAAAAGGACTCTTTGATCACTGCAAACTTCAAAAACCAAAATAGTGTATCAATGTTAATATTCTTATTCATAAAAGGGGATAATTGACCAAATGGGCAGTTATTATCTGAAGTACTGTATATTAAAAGTGTGTAGAAGTATTATTTCATAAATTAGGAAGTAGTGGGTTCAATTCTAGAATGTACATGTATATAGGATTACACTTTTGTTAGATCTGTCATGTAATGTAGTGTTTCATGGACAGATATTTACTTGCTTCATTTATATTGGTAAAGATATATTATTTAAAATAGGAAATTTGGTTTTATTGATCTCTAACAATAAAGACCACAAAATAATATTCAAAAAATTATGCGAATCTTGCATTAGATCTTCAAGTCTGTAAAATTTTTAGGACTTCAGTAACCATCTTGACAGATGGTTTATTAATATTTTCTAGAACTAAAGGCCCTAACAGTATCATAGATTACCCGATTATTTTTTTCTCAAGTTTCTAAGTGCCCAAAACTAAAACTTGTTTTCTTTCCCCAATGAAATCTTGACACTCCATCTGGAAGTTCCTGTGAGTTTTCATCCATTATCTGAATGAACTGTGGAAATAATTCCTTGTTTTGTCTTTGGTAAGTGCACAAAGAAGATATAATAAACTCATAACCCTTGAAAGTAATGGTATGAAGCTGCTTCAAAACTGGCTGAAAAAATGGATGTCCTGTTTCATTGTGATATCTTGTTGGTTGGTGGCAAATCACATACTTTTTCTACTAGAGAGTAAAACAGCCCTTCAAAGAATGTTCCTTAGTTTTCACTAAAAAGAAAATAAGAACTTGAGTTATAACATATCAAAACAAACAAATAAACAAAACTTTCTAACCAAACAAATAGTTTATGTGCAAAGCTGTTCAAATTTAAACATTGGGTGGTGATGACCAAACCAAAGAATAATTTTTATTCCTATCATAAAACTTTCAAATAATGATTGTAATAGCAACAGCTTCCCCAGCACAAGATATCTCACTATGGTGTTTTCACATGTTTCAATGTCTCCCAAACAAACCATGAAGGATGTGACCCCTTTTGTGTCTCCATTTTAGTTAATTATAAAATTGGAAAGACTAAGCATCTTGCTCTGGATTGAATCACAGAATCCCACATATACTGAATCCCAGTATATGTTCTATATTGATGAAATCTTATTTTTTGAATAGTACAATGACTTCAAATAATGTTTTGCCTTCACTGTAAATGAGAGGGGATATTATAGTACATCTCTATTTTCATAAAGCCACTTGCAATTATACTCATAACATGAAACTTCACAGAGTTAAAACTGTACAGGAATTAAAAATAGTTGGAATAAATTATTTAAAAGATTATTGGTCTTAAACAAACAAACAAAAAATGGTGGTATCTTCTTATAATGGCAGCTACTAGGGAGGCTGAGGCAGGAGAATTGCTAGAGTTCAGGAGTTCAAGACAAGCCTGGGCAACATAGCAAAACCTCATCTAAAAAAAAATAAGATGCTGTTTGATTAAAAAAATGTATCTTGCACAGCGAGATAAGGATTGGAAAGAAGAAAGAAGAAACTGATGATAGTGGGTTTATAGGGAAAGCCAGTAAACAAGACTACAGAAGAGAAAAGATCAAAGCTCTGGAAAGTGGATAAATTATTAGCAGGAGCATTCATACCACCTCTCCAACCCTTCATCAAAGTCCAAATTTTTTCTTTTAAAGTGGAGACAAAAGAAGAAAAAAGTCATGGGAGCTTGCTGGGTTGCATAAGCAGCTTTTATATGAAGCCAATATTTATTAGCTATTAATTCCAGCTATGTCTAAAGTATAAGCAATTCAAATATTTGTGTCAGAAATATTTTGGGTGCCAATTATACAGTAACAATAAATTGTTAATAGGGCAGTTTTAGAGTGAGGCAAATATGGATTTGAATCTTAGCAACACTATTAAGCTTTCTGAAACAAGTTTTCTTATCTTAAAATGGAGATAGTATTTACCTCATAAATAATATTAAATATTTAATAATTAAATAGAAAATGCTTGGAAAATTGTAACATAAAGGAATAATGAAGCAAAACTGGCCATGCACTGCCATCTAACTTTCTGTGCTACAGCCAATTCATCCTTTTTTTCAATATTTTTCTCCCTTGTTAACTTTTCATCGGGCAGGACATCAGCTCGGACTCATTCTGTCCTCTCATGGTGATTTCATGGGCAGTCACCATCCATGAACTGGCACAGAATAAACAAAAATGGAGTAGGACAAAGTGCTGGAGCGAGTAAGAAAGTCTATCTGACAGACTTCAATCATTTGTGACTACAGGTTAAGCAACCCTACCCCAAAAATTCAATATCTGAAGCGCTCCAAATCCACAATGTTTTGAGTGCCAACATGTCACCAGAAGTGGAAAATTTCACACCTGATCTCATGTGATAGATTGCAGTCAAAATACGTCAAAAGTTTGTCTCAAAATTTAATTAGATAAAGTTTGCATAAAATTATCTAAAATATTGTATAAAATGAGCTTCAAGTTATGTGCGTAAGATGTACATGAAACAAAAAAAATTGTGTTAAGATTTGGGTCCCATGTACAAGATATCTCATTATTTACATGCAAAATCTAAAATCTAAAAATATCTGAAATCTGTAACACTTTTGGTCTCAAGCATTTAGAATAAGAGATACTCAGCTCATATTAAGAATCCAGGGAAATCTATAGCTAACTAAGTATGAGCAAGTGAGGATGACCAGTTAGATTCAGATAGCAATGCTAAGCAAAACAATTCAGATGCAGCTAAGAGGACAAGGTAGTGAAAAGTTAAGGAGCAGCAGTGGAAATGAAGTTAGAAAAGATGGCAAGAAATAGTCTAGAACTTTGGAGACAAAGTCAGAAATAAATTTTTACTTTGTATTTTTACTTTTAAAGACTATCTTTTAGAGAAGTTTTAGTTTCACAACAAAATTGGGAAGAAAGTACAGAGATTTACCATATGCTTCCTCCCCATATACATGCACAGCCTGCTCTATTACTGAAATCCCCCAGCAGAGTGGTACATTACTTACAATTGAGAAAGCTACATTGACACATCGTAATGACCCAAAGTCCATAGTTTATATATGAGGCCACTAAGAGTGTTGGACATACTTTGGGTTTTGACAAATGTATGACATGTATCCATCATTACAGTATCATGCAGATAACTTCCAGTGCCCTATTCTTTTTGCCGATTCATCCCTCCCTGCTGCCAAACCCTTGGCAACCATCGATCATTTTATTTTATTTTATTTTATTAGATCTAGGGGATACATGTGCAGGTTTGTTACATGGATATATAGTATAATGCTGAGGCTTGGACTTCTATTGAACGCATCACTCAAAAAGTGAGCATAGTACCCAATAGGTGGTTTTTCAACCCTTGTCTCCCTCCCTCCTCCCTTTTGGAGTCCTCATTGTCTATTATTTTCATCTTTATGTCTACATATACCCATTGTTTAGCTTCCACTTATAAGTGAGAACAAGCAGTATGTGTTTTTCTGTTTCCGTGATAATTCACTTTGGATAATGGCCTCCAGCTCCACCCACGTTGCTGTAAATTTGAGGATTTCGTTATTTTTGGCTACATAGTATTCTATGATGTATATTTACATTTTCTTTATCCAATCCAGTTAACAGGTATCTAGGTTGATTCTATGACTTCACTATTGTGAATAGTACTGCAATAAACATTTTAGTGCAGGTGTCTTTTTAGTAGAACAATTTCTTTTCCTTCAGGTAGCTATCCAGTAGTGGAATTGTTGGGTCGAATGATAGTTCTACTTTTAGTAATTTGAGAAATCTCCACACTGCTTTTTGCAGGGGCTAACCTAATTTACATTTCCACCAACAGTGTATAGGCATTCCCTTTTCTCTGCATCTTTGCCAACATCTGTCATGTTTTTTTTTACTTTTTGATAACAGCCATTCTGACTAGTGAGAGATTCCTGTTGATTTAAGTTACTCATAGATCCTGAATATTTGGCCTTTGTCAGATGCATCACTTACAAAAATTTTCTCCCATTCTGTAGGTTGTCTATTTACTCTTTGGTGTGTGTATGTGTGTGCAGAAGCTCTTTAGTTTAATTAAATCCCAATTGTCAGTTTTCATTTCTGTTGCATTTGCTTCTGCAGCACTAGTCATAAATTTTTTGCCAAGGCCAATGTCCAAAAGGGTTGTTCTGTAGGCTTTCTTTAAGTATTTTTGTAGTCTGAGGTCTTACATTGAAGTCTTTAATCTATCTTGAGTTAATTTTTGTATATGGTGAGAAGTAGGGGTTCAGATTCATTCTTCTGCATATGGCTAGCCAGTTTTCTGAGTAACATTTATTGAATAAGGTGTTCTTTCCCCATTGTTTATTTCTATTGACTTTGCCAATTATCAGTTAGTTGTAGGTGTATGGCTTTATTTCTGGGTTCTCTATTTCATTCCATTGGCCAATGTGTATGATTATGTACCAGTACCATGCTGTTTTGGTTACTACAGCCTTGTAGTATAGTTTAAAATTGGGTAATGTGGTGTCTCCAGCTTTCTTCTTTTTTGCTTAGGATTGCTTTGGCCATTCAGGCTCTTTTTTAATCAATATGAATTTTAGAAATAATTTTTCTCATTCTGTGAAAAAATGACGTTGGAAAATTTGATAGGAACTGTACTTAATTTGTAGATTGCTTTGGGCAATATGATCATTTTAATTATATTGATTCTTCCTATCCATGAGCATGGAATATTTTTCCAGTTGTTTGTCTCATCTAATATTTCTTTGATCAGTGTTTAGCTCTTCTTCTCATAGAGGTCTCTCATCTCTTGGTTAGATGTATTCCTAGGGTGTGTGTGTGTGTGTGTGTGTGTGTGTGTGTGTGTGTGTTTATTGTAAATAGGGGTTGCATTCTTGCTTTGGTTCTTAGTTTGAATGTTATTGGTTTATAGAAAAGTTACTGATTTTTTATGTTGATTTTGTCCTGAAGCTTTATTGAAGTTGTCAAGTCTAGGAGTCTTTTGGAGGAATCTTTATTTTGTTCTAGGTATAGAATTATATCATTGGCCGGTGTGGTGGCTCACACCTGTAATCCTAGCACTTTGAGAGGCCAAGGTGGATGGATCACAAGGTCAGGCAATCGAGACCATCCTGGTCAACATGGTGAAACCCTAAAATACAAAAAATTAGCCAGGCATGGTGGCACGCACCTGTAGTCCCAGCTACTTGGAAGCCTGAGGCAGGGGAATCGCTTGAACCAGGGAGGCAGAGGTTGCCGTGAGCCGAGATCATGCCACTGCACTCCAGCCTGACCACAGAGCAAGACTCCATCTCAAAAAAAAAATAATAATAATATTATCAGCAAGTGGAGATAATGTGACTTCCTCTTTTCCTGTTTTAATGCCTTTTATTTCTTTATCTTGCCCGATTGTTCTGGTGAGGACGTCCAGTATTATGCTGAATAGGAGTGGTGAGACTGGACATCCTTGCCTTGTTCCAGTTTTTGGGAAAAATTCTTCCAGTTTTTTCCCATAAGGTGTGATGTTGGCTGGGGGTTTCTTGTAGATGGCTCCTATTCATTTAAGGTATGTTCCTTTAATACTTAGTTTGTTGAGAGTTTTATCATGAAGGAATGTTAGATTTTACTGAATGTTTTTTCTGCATCTATTGAGATGATTCTATGGTTTTTGTTTTTAATTCTGTTTACATGGTGAATCACACATTGATTTGAATATGTAAAAACATCTTTTACATATGGAATCCCAGTAATAAAGCCTACTTGATCATGCTGCATTACCTTTTTGATATGCTACTGGATTCAGTTTGATAGTATTTTGTTGAGGATTTATGTGTCATCAGGGATATTTGTAGTTCTCTTTTTAATTATGTCTTAGCCAGATTTTGCTATCAGGATGACATTGGTTTTGTAGAATGAGTTAAGGAGGAATCCCTTCTCTGTGATTTGTTGAAATATTAGTCAAGTTGATACCAGCTCTTCTTTGTAAGTCTGGTGAATTCAGCTGTGAAGCCATCTGGTACAGAGCTTTTTCTGGTTGTAGGTTTTCCATTACTGATTCAATTTTAGAACTCGTTATTGGTCTGTTCAGGGATTTAGTTTCTTCCTGGTTCAATTTTGGGAAGTTGTTTCTAAGAATTTATTCATTTCTTACAGATATTCTACTTTGTGTACATAGAGGTCTTCGTAGTAGTCTCTAGGATCTTTTGTATTTCTGTGGTATCAGCTGTGATGTCATCTTTGTTATTTCTGATTGTGCATATTTGAATCCTCTCTCTTTTTTTCATTTTAAATTAAGCTAATGGTATATCAATCTTGTTTATCCTTTCAGAAAACCAACTTTTCATTTCATTGATCCTTTGTATAGCTTTTTGGTCTTAATTTAATTTAGTTCTATTCTGATCTTTGTTATTTCTTCTACTTCCCTAGGATTTAGTTTGTTCTTGTTTTTCTAGTTTGTTTAGATGTGACATTAGATTGTTAATTTGAGATATATATATATTTTTTATGTAGGAATTTAGCACTATAAACTTTCCTTTTAACACTGCCTTTTTTGTATCCCAGAGGTTTTGGTATTTTGTGTGTCTATTTTCATTTTTTCCCAAAGAATTTTTTTTATTTCTGCCTTAATTTTCTTGTTAACCCTAAAGTCATTCAGGATCAAGTTGTTTATTTTCCATGTGTTTGTGTAGTTTTGAGAGTTTCTCTTGGTATTGATTTCTAGTTTTATTCCACTGTGGTCCAAGGAGCTGCTTGATCATTTTGATTTTTTTTATGTATTGAGACTTGGTTTATGATCAATTATGTGGCCAATCTTAGAGACTGTTCCATGTATAGATGAGAAGAAGAATGTATATTCTGCGGTTGCTGGGTGGTATATTCTGTAAATGTTTATTAGATCTATTTGGTCAAGTCTCCAACTTAAGTCCAGAATTTATCTGTTAGTTTTCTGCCTCAGTGATCCATCTAACGCTGCCAGTGGGGTGCTGAAGTCACTCACCGTTATAGTATGTCTGTCTATCCTTTTTCTTAGGTCTAATCATATTTTTTAATAAATCTTGGTGTTTCAGTGTTGGGGGTGCAGATTTAGAATAGTTAAATCTTGTTGAATTTAACACCTTAACTTTGTATAATGTTCTTTGTCCTTTTTTACTATTGTTGATTTAAAGTCTGCGTTACCCTATACAAGAATAGTGACCGCTGCTCTTTATTGTTTTCCATTTGTGTAATATATGTTTCTCCACCCCTTTATCTTAAGCCTGAGGGTGTCAGTACATGTGACATGGGTCTCTTGAAGACAATAGAAGGTTGGGTCTTGTTTTTTTCTGTTTGTTTTGTTTTTGTTTTTTGTTTGTTTGTTTTGTTTTTTATCTAACTTGCCTCTCTGCTTTTACGGAGTATTTAGGCCATTTATCTTCAACATCAATATTGATATGTGAGGTTTTGTTCCTGTCATAGTGTTGTCACATAGTTGTTTTGCAGTCTCAATTGTATTATGGCTTTACAGGGTCTGCGAGCTTTGTACTTACATGTGTTTTTATGGTAGCAAGTGTCATTCTTGTGTTTCCATGTTAAGAACTCTATTAAGCAATTCTTATAGTTACTGCCTGGTGGTGTCAAATTCCCTTAGAATTTGTTTATCTGAAAAAGACTTTATTTATCCTTGGCCTATGATGCTTAGTTTGGCAGGATATGCAATTATTGGTTGGCATTTTTTTTAAGAAGACTAAAAATAGGCTACCAATCACTTGTGGCTTGTGATGTTTTTGCTAAGAAATCAGCTAACGTGATTCCCTTTATAGATGGCTTGGCCCTTTTTTCTAACTGCTGTTAATATATTTCTTTCACATTGACCTTAAATAGTCTAATGACTATGTGTCTTGTGATGATCATCTTGAATAATATTCTGCAGGAGATCTCTGAATTTTTTGTATCTAGGTGTCAACCTATCTAGTAAGATGGGGAAAATGTTCCTGAATTATTCTCTGAAATATGTTTTCCAATTTACTTACTTTGTCTTCTCTCTCAGGAATGCCAATAAGTTGTAGATTTGGTTACTCTTCATAATATCATATTTCTTGAAAGGTTTGTTCACTTTTTAAAAATCTTATTTCTTTATTTTTTCTGACTGGGTTAATTCAAAAGACTCATCTCCAAGCTCTGAATCTCTTATTTTTGCTTGGTCTAGTCTATTGTTAAGTATTCCAATGGTATGTTGACATTCCTGTAGTAAATTTTTTCAATTCTAAGAGTATTTTTTGGCTCCTTCTTTATGTAACTATGTTATCTTTTGTGTCCTGGATTCTTTTTTTGGTTTCTTGGTAATAAATTTCAACTTTCCCTTGGATCTCACTGAGTTTTCTTAAAATCCATATTTTGAATTTTTTTAATCTGCCATTTCATACATTTCACCCTGGTTAGGATCCATTGCTAGAGAGCTAGCACAATTTTTGTGAAGTGTCAAAACACCTTGGCTTTTTGCACTGCCAGAGTTATTAAACTAGTTCTTTCTCATCCTAGGGAGCTATCATGTCTTATTTTTGAAATTGCTAAAGTTGTGACGAGGCTTTTCTAAATTCTTTTTTGAGGGTATTACTGTAGTTTATGTTGTGGATGATCATTTGGCTTTGTTTCTGGGTGCTTTCAGGGGACAAAGGCTCTGTATGGATTCTTTGGTTGTGGATAGGTCCTATGTGGTAGCTTTCTCAGATGCTGCTTGTCGTAGTGATGTATTTTTGTTGGTGGTGCAGTTCAGGCTGAAGTCCAGTAGATGGTGCTTAAGAGTAAGAGCTTGCAGGTAGACTGCTGCCTAGAGGACACACCCACCCTGACAGGCCTTGCAGGAAGAGATTATAATGTGTTAAGCTTTAGTCTCTGGGGAAAGGGGCTAAGTGTGGGTACCAGTTCCTCATCCTTCCCCAACAGAAACATAATCCGCTTCCCTTTACTCACCTGGTTTATGACATGTTTACAAAGGCTTCATCCTTTGGTTCCCTGATGCACTGTAGCTGTGGGACATGGATCTGTCTCTCTGACAGCTAATGCTAGAATGTGAGTTGGGGCACTCTCTAACCCCAGTGCATGGCAGGCAACTCCACGTTCTGTCCTCTGTTGCCAGGGTGCTGCTGCTCTGTATAGGAAGGGGTGCTTTACCCCACTCTTCGTGAAAGCCCAAGCAGGTGCAGGTTCACTTTCAGTTTGGTAGAGACACTGGGAATGCATAAAAAGCCAGTTTCATTCAGTGCATGTTGACTTTCAGTGTGGGTAGAGCTGCCAGAAAAGCACAAAATGCACCTTATTTCAGTGAATGCTCACCAGGTCTTGCTGGAGGAAATGCTGTGTCGGCAATAATGTATGGGGCAGAAGGGCCAGGAGATGAACCCTTTGCCATTTGCAGTACCTTCAGCAGCTGACACCGTGTCCATGTTTCCATTGTTCCAAGGGGAGCTTTGTCAGGCTGTGCTTCCCCCTCCCTTTGGGGCAATCCATACCAAGGGTTAGGTCTCCAGAGGACCCACAACTTCCCAGGGACCTGCTGGTCCCCTGTGCTTGCCAAAGTCAGAACAGGTTGTGTGGTATTTTTGCAAATGATCTGGTGTTGCACTTTCTTAAGGGCAGAGCATCCCTGGGCAGGGCAGTGGCACCACAGGGACACAACCAGTATGGCACAACCAGTATGTTTCTGAGGGGAGTGTGGGCATGGCTGCAAGAGTGGGCCATCCAGTTCTCTGTTCCCAGAAAGTTCTTCTGGGCAATAATGTTGCCCTGGGTTGTGAGGATAGAGGGGCTTCCCAACAGTTGAGCAGTAAGCAGGTTGTCAGATGAGTGAGAAGAGCAGAGAAGCACTCCCACCTATCCTTTCCACTGGGGAAAGGACAGTTTCTTCAATAAATGCTGCTGGGAAAAACTGAATATCCATGTGCAGAAAAATGAATGCAGACCCCTATTTATTACCACAAACAAAAATCTAATCAAAATGAATAAAAGACTTAAATATAAGACCTGAAACTGTAAAAAAAAAAAAATAAGTAAGTAAACATTGGCACTGGTGAAATGCTGCAGGACATTGTTCTGGGTGAAGATATTTTTGTGCATGACTTCAAAAGCACAGGCAACGAAAGCAAAAATAGACAAGTGAGATTACATCAAGCTAAAAAAGCTTATGCCCCAAAAAGGAAACAATCAACAAAGTGAAGAGACAACCTACAGAATAGGATAAAATATTTACAAACTATTGATCTAATAAAGGATTGATAACCAGAATATAGAAGGAGCTCAAACAACTCATGAGCAAAGTATCTAATAATCAATTTAAAAATAAACAAAAGATCCGAATAGACATTTCTCAAAAGAAGACATAGAAATGGTCAGCAGGTATATGAAAAATGTTCAACATCACTAACTGTCAAAGAAATGCAAATCAAAATCACAAAGAGATACTATCTTGCCGAGGTAAAATGGCTTTTATCCAAAGGACAGGTGATAAATAATGCTGGAGTGGATGCAGAGAAAGTGAATCCTCATACACTTTTCATGGGAATGTAAATTAGTGCAGCCACTATGGAGAACAGTATAGAGATTCCTCAAAAACTACCAAAAATAGAACTACCATATGATCCAACAATTCCATTATTTGGAATTTACCTGAAAGAAAGAAAATCATTATATTAAAGATATCTGCACCCTCATGTTTATTGCAGCACTACTCACAATAACCAAGATATGGAATCAACCTATGTGTCCAAAAAAAAACCTGAGTGGATAAAGAAAATGTGGTATATAAACAAAGTGGTATATTATTCAGCCATGAAAAAGAAGGAAATCCTGTCATTTGCAGCACCATGGATAGAACTAGAGGCCACTGTGTTTGCTGAAATAAGCCGGGCACAGAAAGACAAATATTCCAGGTTCTCACTTATATGTGGGAACTAAAAACTTGGATCTCATAAAGATAAAGTGTAGACTGATGGTTACCAGAGACTGGGGATGGTAGTAGGGAGGGAGGGAGGGATAAAGAAATAAGACCTAGCATTTGATAGATTAGTAGGGTGGCTAGAGTTAACATTAATCTAGTGTATATTTCAAAATATCTAAAAGAATATTTCAAATGTTCCTAATATTTAAAAAGATAAATATTTAAGATGATAGATGTCCCAGTTACTCTGATTTCATCTTTACACATTATATAAATGTATCAAATTATCCTAGTATCCCCAAAATATGTGATTCTATTATGCAGTAATAAAAATATGTAGCAATACTACAATTAAAAAATCTTCCCCAAAATAGATTTTGTTTTCTGAGTAGACTTAGGAAAGAGTTTGTTGGTGGACAAACACTCATTAATTTTTGAGTGGCGTGGAAGAGGGGAGAAGCAGCATCTTTCCAGTATCTCTGAGTTTTGTTACTCCAGGTTCCAAGCCAAAGACTGAGATATGTGCATAACAAATTATTTATATCCTGAAAACAAGGTCACCCATGTCTATAGTTACCAGCTACTTCGGTATTAAAAAGGTAAGAAAGGGCAGAATGAAAAACCGACACATTAAAGTTCATTTTAAATAAATCGTAGGGAGAAAGAGGAAGCCAACACTTAAAAATCTGCTTTAAAACTAATGTGATTTTTTGTGTGTGTGAGGCAAGGCTGAGTAACCCATTATTTCTATAGTTTTTAATACAAAGATTAATTTTCATCACAGTTAACAATATGACCTAGGAACTCTATCCGTGTCTAGATTATGTAAAATTACGAACTAGACAAGACTTTTTCTCACATTTTTATTCATCATCTTCACTCTTCATCTGAGTTCTCATTTTTACTTCCTTTACCAAAGTTCAGTTTCATGTTTAATAAACAAGTTACCTAAAATTTAAGTTACCTGAAATATTTCTTAAAAGCTTTGAATCAAGTAACAGCTATCAGATCCTGTCTTAGGTCAAGTTCATTAGAAGAGCCTGAGACTGAGATTCTTAACAACTGTGATTTATTAAGGGAGTATTCTCTGGAGAAACCTGTAAGACAGTGAGTGGAGTGGCAGAAGAAAAGGGGAGAACAAATAAAAATGCAGTTTCAGGTGAGGTCCAGCCTCAGCCCGATCATACCTAGTGCTCTAGAGCAGGCGTCCCCAGCCCCGGGCGGCAGATCCTATAGGTCTGTGGCGAGCCTGGCCGCACAGCAGGAGGTGAGCAACAGGCCAGCCATTACCGCCTGAGCTTCACCTCCTGTCGGATCAGCGGGACATTTGATTCTCATAGCAGCGTGAACCCTACTGTGAACTGCCCATTTGTGAACTGCGCATGAGCGATCATGCGCTCCCCACCCCACCCCCGCCCCACATGAAAAAAAACATTGTCTTCCACAAAACCAGTTCCTGGTGCCAAAGTTACAGTCTGTCTGCCAGGAGGCAAGGGCTTTTGTGCTCCAGCACCAGTCAGTCATCTTCTGGTCTCATGAGTGCAGCAGTTCCACAGCCCAAGGCAGTCCTCCAGGAGAGGTTGAAAAAGGGTGTCCATAGCTGAAGATAAAAGGGATTTCCAGGAATTCATTTGAGACACCAACAGTGTCTGCTAGAGCCTTATCAAAATGTTTATTTCTCTAAAACATTAAATCTTTTTTGAGTGGCTTGCACCGGAGAAGGACATGAGGGAGGGAGAAGCAATGTCTTTTCAGTCTTTTCAGAGATTTGAGGTTGTTATTTCAGCTTCCAAACATGATTTTTCACAAATCTGACTTAATAATGCTTGCTACACATTAAACAAACAAAGAGAAACAGTTTCCCCTACAAACTTTCTGATCCGTGTGGTCTTTTTCTCTGCAAAGTGCTTTTCAGGTCTTTTCATGTAAATACAGATATTAAATCTGTAACAATGTAGATATTTTTCTTGAATCTCCTAATGATCCTGAGATGTAAGTGGAACAAGTATTTATTGTCATTTTGTAAATAAGCAAACCAAGACCTAGAAACTCCATAGACTAATGGTATTCACACAATTCTTAAGTGCTACTTCAGAAAACCTAATTCAGTGTTCTTTTCACTTTGCTACAATCTCTGTTTCAAATAATGTTTAAACTTCCCAAACTATGTTTTTATTTAACATTTCAAAATTGCATCATTCTAGATAGGACTTTATTTCAAAGATTCTACCTAGAGGCAAAGCACCTAGAATAGCATGAACAATATTTAAGAACTACATTCATCACTTATTATCTACGTGACCATAGGCAACTCATGCTAAACTTTAGTTTTCTCCACTGAAAAACAACAAGTGGAAATAATACCTTTGTACCAAGGTGATTTGGACTATATTTACAAGAGATAAAAGATTTGCACATTATAAAATCCATTAATATATCATTATTATTATTATTATCATCATCATCATCAACAGCAGCAGCAGCAGCAGCATTTGGGAAAGATCAGATAATATAGCATCAGGCGCAGTTTTTGTTGGTTATTTTTTTTTCAAGATAACCATTACATCACACCTTTAAATCTTCTATTATCCAGAAGGTTTTAAGAGTCAAAGGTAATAGGACTCTAGACTTGGCTTTATCGCCAGATAGTATCTTGTCCATCCTAGTGACAGCAAAACTTGACTCTTCTTCTATTGTATGGGACTCAATTCCACGTGGATGCCAGACAACCTGTTGAGGCCCAAAGGATGTGTTGACATTCTTGATGAATTTTCCTCCATTTTTCATATAGGTACATAATTTGCTGCCTCGGTAACATAGTTTGGCAGTGCCATTTTCATCTACTCTTTTTTAAGGAAATCTTTACACTGTACTGTTTCACTTCAATTCAAATTTTAAATAGAATTTATAACCACAGTTTTGGGTCATAAAATATGGATATATATATATAAGAATTTTTCTTTAAAAATAAAAAAGTAAATTCTGAGGTTTAAAAATGTATAAAACTACCATAATCACAATGCACAATTACTATGAATTATTTTTCATCCTGGACAGTGAGTGAGAGATAAAGGATGTTATAAGAACTATATTAAAATAAGCAACATCTCCAGCCTTATAATCTTTCCATTAGAAGGTCTGGAGATTACCGAATAGTTACTCCAGCATTCTGAACTATGCTAATTATTATCACAAGCCATATGGACCCTAAAGTTTCTTAAGTGTGTTAATATATTCAAAATAGAATAATATGTTTTTGGCAAATTTTCACATTCATGAGATATGAATTCAAACAGAGCATTGTATTAAAACGCAGTTTAAAGCAACCATATCTCAAATTATTTTATCAAAATAAAATGGATTTTTGACTTAAAGAAAATACCTATACAACAGTCAAATATCTGCATATAATATAGTTAGTAGAAGAAAAAATTTTTCTTGCATACATATAGCAATTAGCATTCAAAACATAATTTTCCTTCTGTTTTCCTAGCTGGCTGAATTGTACCCAGGAGTAGGTGACTGTGTGATAATGTAAATGACTCAATATATCCTAAATATTTACCATCTAATTTTTAAGATCAGTGATTGAAATTGCAGTACAGCACATAACTCAGCTGAAAGAAAGAGACAGAAAGGAAGGGAAGAAGGAGGAAAGGTTGTTTTGGCAACCATGTAATTTTATGTCAGCATGTGATTTTTCTAAATGTATAGAAATATTTAGTGTATAATTGGTTTTGTGCTTATATTTTTAGTTTACATAAAGGCTAGTTCTTTATATAGCTTGATTCAGAAAGAAAAAAAGAAAGATAAAGAGAGAGAGAAAGAAGAAAGAGAGAAAGAAAGGAAAAAGAAAAAGAAGGAAGGAAAGAAAGAAAGAGAAAGAAAAGGGGAGGGGAGGGAAGGGGAGGGAAGGGGAGGAGGGGAGGAGGAAGGGCGGAAGGAAGGAAGAAAAGAGAGAGAAAAGGAAGGAAGGAAGGAGGGAGGGACGGAGGGAGGAAGGAAGGAAGGAAGGCTGGTTGATTTCGGTGAGATCAGATAATCATTTTGCCACATTTTAGTGACTTAAATTCCCCTGGACTAATGCCGAATACTGCAGCAAACTGACTAATTCTGCAGAATACAATAATTTTACAATGACTTAAAAATATATAAAGGTTGATGCCCTTCTGTATTTTTCAAAGAAATGGTTCTTCTAGATCAAGCATTTTCTTTAGGCTTTAATATAATCTTAAATATAAACAAATATATATCTAAAATGGGAAGCACTGGTTTCACTAACTGTAGCTCTTCAGAAATTAGCCTTTTTCTGCCTTCCATATTTATGCAGAAAATAAAGGCTTTAAGAATTCAGTTATATCAGCCTGGCCTGGTGGCTCATGCCTGTAATCCAGCGCTTTGAGAGGCTGAGGCGGTGGATCTCTTGAGGTCAGGAGTTTGAGACCAGCCTGGCCAACATGATGAAACCCCATCTCTAAATAGCTGGGCGTGGTGGCGCACACCTGTAATCTTAGCTACTCTGGAGGCTGAGGCAAGAGAATCGCTTGAACCCAGACGGCAGAGGTTGCAATGAGCCAAGATCGCACCACTGCACTTTAGCCTGGGCGACAGAGCAAGATTCTGTTTAAAGAAAAAAAAAAAAAAAGAGTTCAGTTATACAAGTTTGTTAAATCTTAAAAGACAACACAAAGATGTCTCGATGATCGTAGAACCTCCTTTTCCTGCTGTTAGTTTTTCAGACCTCCAGTGATCATTCTAGCTCTAGGGGAGAATAGTACTGCTCATACAACCTGACCCAAATCCTTTGGTTTAGTTCAAAATCGGTGAGCACAAAACAACAGGAATTCTATATTAAATTGAGCTTATACTTGTGTCGTGGTACATTTTTTAAAGTTTCATGTCAAACTGTGGGATAGAAAAATAGTGCATTAGGTCATCCAGAGGATTTTCACCTCTATCCAATTATTTTCAGCACGGGCTCTATCAACCTATTTATAGATAATTAGTTAATTATTTATTTTTGTTTTTCTAACATACCATAGTCACACAGTTGAGTGTATATTGGTCTTACTATACTTAAGTCCAAATTGAAACTTAATAAGGGCAGCATTCTAGAAAAACTATTTGATGATGTAGTTGATTCCATCACCAAGACATACTTCAAACCTAGAAAATCTCTAGTGAATATTTTTATGGGCTTTCAGTTCTAAAATGAATATCATTATATGTTTTGATGATTTCCATAAATGAGGGTAAAAAAGTTCCAAATAATGTGACAACTATTAACTCCTTCAGATGTCAGGAAATAATTTTTTTAATTATTATAAATTAAAATCTAAATGAATATGATAGCATCTGAGGTGGACTACGTGGATAGGAAGAAATAAGCTGCTCAATACTCTGTGATGAAAGAACAATTATTTTATCTTTGCCCAAGAAATTATTAATATAATTCCCCTATAATATTCTCCTTAAGTCAGTGTTCATTTAATAAGGAAAAAAAAATCTTACCTATTAGTAGAAATGTTATAGACATGCATTGTGCCCTTGGTAAAGAAATAATAATACCACTCAATTATATGGTACATGAAAGTTTAAAAACATTTCACCTACAGGCCGCTCAGCAAGAACATGCATCCCCACTTGGATCAGACTTCCTTTTACAGAAATAAACTTTCATATTAATCACAGATCCATGGTTTATCTTTCTATGGGAGACCAATTTAAAACCTACAATTGGTAATTGTATCTCAGTCAGCATCTGGGCAGTGCATTCTCCAGCATATAAATTTTGGAGATTTCTATTTCATATGTGGGACATGTAATTATTAAAAAAAAAAATAGGTTAAAAGTTTTCTGACAGATCATGTCTTGGTTAACAGTTCTGCCATGAAGAATATCTCTTAATTCCTCTTTTATTGATTTCATTCTATTTTATAAAAGCTATCAAATAGTTACCTATTCACACTCATTTAATTTGAAAATTATTTATGACATATGTTGTTATTGAAACTTCAGAGGAGCCCTCTCTTATTTGGTGGTTCTGGATCAACCATTAGGGTTCAATGTGAGCCAACAGAGTTGTAGTGGGGGGGGTTTCATTATTGTTTTCACCTTTCTTATTTTATTTCTTTATTCCTTCTTTACCCACCTCCAACCTGCCTGCATAGGCAACCATTTAATCCTTTGTAAGCATGTAATCTTATTAAATGTATATCATTATTTTTTATGCTTGTGTTTTTAATTTTCACAAAGACTGGTGCATTATATAGCTAATTCTCTTTCTTGGATTTTTTTACTGAGCACAGTTTTTTAAAGATTTGCCTATGTCACCATGTGGACCTTGAGTCAGTGGCATCTAACTGCCATACAACATGGCGAGTATACTTCTTCACTCCCCTGTAATGAACATCCAGAATGCTTCTAACTTCTTACCTCCACAAATAATTCCCTACAAGGAATATACACATGTATAAGCCCCTGTGGATCTGTACAAAAATTACTATGGGACTTATATTCAGTAGAATAATTGATGTCTAAGAAGTTGCATGCTTTTCTCCAGAACAGCTCTGCAATCCCACCAGAGGGGCCTGAGCATTCCTAAATCCCATACAGTCGTCAGTGCTTTGCACTTTAAGTCAAGCTAAGATTGGTATAGTGAAATCAAATGGTGGTTTTCATTTGCATTTATATAATTATAAGCAATTTGAAAATCTCTTTATGTGAAGAGACTGTGGTCTTTTTCAATGCACGGAAGTCCTCAATTTTTGCTTAATCACAATGATAGACTTTTTGCCCTATGGTGTGCACTTTCCAAATTTTTTAATACTTCCCCATAACGTGATCACAGAGCTATTTTACTGACTTTTCTTCTGTTAACTTTACAGCTTTATATTGCACATGTAGATCTTTATGCCACCTAGATACCTCCTTTGCCTGAATAACTTAGCATATATTGTGAACAATAGTCTCAGAAGAGCAGATAGGTATAAATGTGGGAATGCAGCATTAAGAAAGTATAAGAGCAAGTTGTAATAACTGACAAGAAAATATATTATGTCAGGAAAAACAAATTGGTGAGAATTATTTTTAACAAATTCACCTTTTCAATGAGTCTATTTTCAGATTTGTGCTTGTGTATTATAAAAGGAACCCAAAGGTAAAGGCATTTTGCAAATAACTATATATGAATTCAAACAGATTTCTGCAGGTATTGTGATGGCAATATTATATTGAAAGTGGACTTATTATTATAACAACATATATATTTCTTCATATGAACCAAAACCTTATATTTCTCCACTCCACTATGCTTTTCCTCTCTCCTTTTAACTGACATACACATTTAGTATAAATTAGAAATTAATAAACTACACAATTTTTCCATGCCAATTTGCTTTTAAGCTTTACTCCTAATAGTAAAATAAGATAGATATTTAAAGGAATGTTAAGTACCAAGTCTGTCATTATTTAAGCTTTGAAATAATGTGTGAATATTTTATTTTTGAAAAGTAAAATACTGAATATTTTGTCAGATCAAACTTTCAGCATTGATACTTAATTGATAATGGCACTTAAAATTCTATGTGAAAAATAAGATAATTATTGGCTGGATTGGCTGTATATATAAAAATTAATTAAAGGAATTATGTGGAATATAAGAAATATGCCTATTATTAAATATATTAAAATAAATTTATTAAAATATTTTTAAATATTTGTAAGTGTTAATACACTGACATATTCACATACCCTCAAATTTTTCCTTTATCTTACTTTCATTTATGTATATAGAATGAGAACATTGATAATAACTATGACTGTTGAAAGTTACAAAAAAGTTTAAATAACTTTAGCAGAAACTATTTCAAAAGTAAATTAAATACAAAAAGTTAAATTAAATTTGAACATTGTGAAAACATTTCAGAGCAAATTCTAATAACTGGGCATATGGTTTTCTCTGCTATTATGTTTGTTTCTTAACGTAGAAGGAAAGATTAAGACAGTTTCAGAGGCACATGAAATATAAAAGATTTACTTTAGGAATGAAATATTGCTTTAAAATAATTGAACTTGCAATTTCATTTCCTTAAATTTCTAGCTCCCAACTAAATATTTTAATTTATTAGTTGTTTATCTTTAATCATAACTTTATCCTTATATACCAGACATTTAGAATTTTTTAATGATTTTATACTTTTTTAATATGGGGGGATTTTATTTTATATACCAAGAAAAGTGCTAATTAAGTAAGTCTGGTTTTTAGGTTTCTGTGAGCACAAGTATCCCATAGTTGTGTGTGTATGTACATGTACCTGTGGTGTTTCTCCTTGTTTGTATGTAATCTTTAAATCCAACTTCTGGTTAGCTTTGAAATGAATGAAGAGGTATACTATATACTAATCTGTTCCTTTTTACAAGCCCAAAGCACAGCTGCTGTTGTGGAAGTAAAAGCTCTCACTGTGAGATCGGTGTGTCCAGGACGTGACTCCTACTGGGTAGCAGGGTTAGTTGGTTGATGATGTGTGTGAGAGATTTTCCCCTTCTGCCAACAGAGCTTCACATGGATTTCTTTTTTCTAAAACTAAACATATTATCAAAGACAATGACCTTCACAGATGGAGACAGACTTGCTTTTCAGTAAGGGACTGACAGCAGTGATAATTCCCTGACAGAATTTGTAAGCAAACTTATGAAAAATATGCCTGTGTTGGCAATCCAATAAAATAAAATTAACCAATTAACCTGTTATTTTGTTCACTATTGCTGCTTTAACATGTTACTACAAACATTGATGTGTTAAACAACACAAGCTTATTATATCACAGTTCTGGAGGTCAGAAGTCTGACACAAGTCTCACCGAGCTAAAATCAAGTCATCATTGGGCTTCAACAGAGCTCTGTTCCTCTGTAGAAGTACTGGATAGATCTCTTTCTTTGCCTTTCCCAGCTTCTAGAGGATGCCTGCATTCCTAGGCTTGTAGTCCCCCTTCCTCCATCTTCAAAGCTAACAAAATGTAATCTAGCCCTTTCCACATCGTTTCGCTTGGCACTCTTCCATAGGCATATCTCTGCTAACTCTTCTGCTGCCCTCTTCTGTGTCCTTTCCATCTTCCACTCCTAAGATCTTCTCTCTCTAATACATTGGGCCCACCTTAATAACCCAGACTAATCTCCCTGTCCCATGGTTAGCTGATTGGCATCTGTAATTTCACTTGTAACCTCAATTCCACTGTGCAGTGTCACTTAACATATTCAAAGCTGGGGATTGGTACATGAGTATCTTCAGGGTGCCATTATTCTGCCTCTGCTATGTAGCAGAAACTGATATTTCAGGAGACGTATAATACCTGCTCAAAAAAAGTTAATCTTCATCAATATTTAATTATTGTATTTACTTGTTAATTAATCAAATTTTATTTTAGAATCTTAACTGGAGGGTAACTGATATGCAGTACAAAGAAAATAAGCGTGTGATTTCCTCACTCTCTTAAGATCTACTGCCTACAGCAAGTTCCTACCAAAACAAAATAAAACAAAAAGAAATTCTATAAATGATTGCTATGTATCTTTACGTTTAATTTTGGAAAAATGATATGAAGTTTATAACTGATAAATGCTATTAAAATATTTCCTGATGTATTCATCAAATTTTGCTAGAATTTTACAAGGACCTTGTATCCTTCCCCCTACCACTACTGTCTCTCATATTCCAACTTATCTTCCACACTGCTCGTGAAATTATTTTCTTAAAAAGAAAATTCTATCATGCCACCTTTTTTTCTTACATTTGCCTTTTACTGCTGGATTTCTCAACTTGCCCTAATAGAGCCCAATGGAGAAAGAAACATGTGCTAATAACATATTCTCAAGGTAAGCTTATAAAGGTGTTTCTCTTTCAAACACTTCCATTCACTGAAAGCAAACAGCTTATAATGAATCTGTAAGTTGATAAATACCCATCTTGTTCTTTATTACAGTAATTAGCATGGCATGTAAGATCGGCAGAATGAATCACTTTTCTGTTTTAAATTATAAATATCTCCTAACATATCTGTGTCCCTTTCAAGGCAAAGGGTGAATTGGAGTAGACACTGTTATCTGACTCTGGTATGTATTTCCGCACCTGTCATTAAAACATGGCATATAGCATGATGCCTCAGCTTGGGAATAAGAATACCTGAATTTTAGTTAAGGTTCTGCCACTACCTATTTCTGTAATGATAAACAAATTGCTAACTTGTTCTTATTTATATAATAGGAATAATAATAGCACTCACCTCATAAGGTTCTATTCATAAGTAAAATAACATTTGCAAGATATAAAGTGAAGGGAAGTGGGGAGGGGGGATAAAGTAGGGATGATTAATGCGTACAAGAATGTAGTTAGATAGACCGAATACAATCCAGTATTTGACAGTACAACATGGTAGCTATAGTCAACAATAAGTTATTTTATATTTTAAAACAACTGTAAGAGTGGTATTGGACTGTCCCTAACACAAAAGAATAATAAATGCTTGAGGGGATGTATACCCCAATTACCCTAATGTGCTTATTATATATTGTATGCTTATATCAAAACATGACATATACTCCATATATATATATATACACATATATATATACACCTATTATGCACCTATATGATATAGTTTGTATATGTGTCCCTGCCAAAATCTCATGTTAAATTGTAATCCTCAGTATTGGAGGTGTGGCCTGGTGGGAGGTGATTGGAGCATGGGGTGGATTTCTTATAGATGGTTTAGCACTATTCCCTTGGAACTGTCCTTAGTGAGTGAGTTTTTGCAAGATCTGGTCATTTCAAAGTGTGTGGTCCTCCTCCCCACTCTCTCTCACTTGCTCCTGCTTTCCCCATGTGATGTGCCTATTGCCCCTTCACCTTCCATCATAATTGTAAAGTTTCCTAAGGCCTCCTTAGAAGCTGAGCAGGTGCCAGCACCATGCTTTCTGTAAAGCCTGCAGAACTGTGAGCCAATTAAACCTCTTTTTAAAATGAATGGCCCAATCTCAAGTATTTATTTATAGCGATGCAAGAATGGCCTTATACAGCACAATAAAAATGTAAATATATATATATATATATATACACACACACATACAGTGCCGGCTGGGCGCAGTGGCTCATGCCTGTAATCCCAGCGCTCTGGGAGGCCAAGGCAGGTGGATCACAAGGTCAGGAGTTTGAGACCAGCCTGGCCAATATGGTGAAACTCCGTCTCTACTAAAAATACAAAAATTAGCCAGGTGTGGTGTTGGGCACCTATAGTCCCAGCTACTTGAGAGGCTGAGGCAGGAGAATCACTTGAAGCCAGGAGGCAGAGGTGGCAGTGAGCCGAGGTCGTGCCACTGCACTCCAGCCTGGGTGACAGAGCGAGACTCTGTCTCAAAAACAAACAAACAAACAAGAATATATATATATATGTGTATATGTATGTATATATATGTGTGTATATATATATACACTCACTGTATATATATATATATACTCACTATATACACTATATATATATTCACTGTATATATATATATATATATACATAGTGCCTTTATCAAGGATTTTTTTTCGAGTTTCATGGATGAACCAACAAACAAATTAATACATGATGAAATGAACAATATTGACAAACTTTTAGCTAGATTACTAAAAAAAGAGACAAGACTCAAATAAATAAAATCAGAAATGAAAAAGAAGATATAACAACTAAGACAACAGAAATACAAAGAGACTGTTATAAAAAATTACTTGCAAACAAATTCGATAAGCTACATGAAATGGCTACATTCCTAGACACATACAACCTACCAAGCCTGAATCATAAAGAAATGGAAAACCCAAACAGATCAATAATGAGAAAGGAGATTGAATCAGTAAGAAAAATCTCCCATCAAAGAAAAGCCTAGACCTTATTTCTTCACTACTGAATTTTATCAACTTAGAGAATACTCAATCTAATAAAAATTATTCTCACCTCCTTCCAAAAAAGTGAAAAGAATGCTTCCAAACTCATTTTAGGAGGCCAACATCACCCTGATACCAAAGCCAGAAAAGGGTACTACAAAAAAAGAAAATTACAGACCAAATTCCCTTATGAATATAGATGCAAAAACATAACAAGATACTAACAAACTTAATTCAACAGCACATTGAAAGAATCATTCACCACATTAAAGTGGGATTAATTCCAAGGATGCAATGATTGGTCAACCTGTGCAAATATATAAATGTGATATACCACATTAACATAATGAAGGACAAAATGTATGACAATTTAAATGGATACCGATAAAACATTTAAGCATTTAACAAAATTCAACATATTTTATGATAATAACTCTCAGAAAGGTATGTATAAAAAGAATGTACCTCAACATAATGTTATATATGACAAACCCACAGCTAACATCACACTCAGTGGTAAAAAGTTGAAACCATTTTTTTCTAAGATCAAGACAAGGATGCTCACTCTTGCCACATCTAATCAACATAATATTGGAGGTCTTAGCTATAACAATGAAGTGAGAGAAAAAATAAAAGGCACGAGGAAGTTAAATTGTTGCTGTTCACAGAATTCACCAAAAAACAATTAAAACTAATAAATGAATTGAGTAAAGTTTCAGGATGTGAAAATGAGTAGCATTTCTATACCTAAGAGTGAACTATATTAAAAAAAGAAATTTAAAAATTACATTTACAATGGCTTCAAAAAATGATATAATTATGAATAGATTGCAATCTAAAAATCTTTAGCATAATAAAGAAAATGATCAACAAAGTGGAAACACAACTTACAGAATGAGAGTAAAGTTTACAAACTATACATCTGATGAGGGCTAATACCCAAATTACATAAGGAACTTAAATAGCTCAATAGCCAGGAAATAACCCTATTAAGAAATGGGCAAAGGACTTGAAAAGACTTTTGTCAAAAATATACGCAAATAGCAAGCAGATATATGAAAAAAACGCTTAACATCATTAATCATCAGGAAAATGCTAACAAAAAGCATAATGAGATATTACCTCACATTTGTGAAAATGGTTTTTATCAAAAAAACAAAAGATAACAAGTGTTGGTAAGAATGTAGAGAAAACAGAACACTGCTCTGTTTTCAATGCATTGTTGGTAATAATATTAGTATGGCCATTGTGAAAAAGCAATATAAAGGTTTTCTCAAAAAAAAAAATAGGATTACCATGTGATCCAGCAATGCCACTACTAGATATACAGTCATCCCTCAGTATCTGTGGATATTTGATTCTGAGATCCCCATGGATACTAAAATATACAGATATTCAAGTCCCTTATAAACATGATATAATATTTGCATATAACCTGAACACATATTTTCACATACTTTAATGATCTCTAGATTACTTATAATACCTAACACAATGTAAATGTTATGTAAATAGTTGTTATACTCTATTGTTTAGGGAATAATGACAAGAAAGAAACGTCTGTATGAATTTAGTGCAGACACAATTATCTTTTTTTCTGAATATTTTCTTTTTTTCCAACCTTTATTGTAGGTTCCTGGGTGGAAGTGCAGGTTTGTTATATGGGTAAGTTGCAGGTCATGGGGATCTGTTGTACAGATAATTTTATCACCCAGGTAATAAGCATAGTGCCTGATCGGTAGCTTTTTGATCCTCACCTTCCTCCCACCCTCCACCCACAACTAGGCCGCAGTGTCTATTATTTCTTTCTTTGTGTGAATGTGTACTCAATGTTTAGCTCCCACTAATAAGTGAGAGCATGTAGTATTTGGTTTTATGTTCCTGTGTTAATTTGGTTAGGATAATGGCCTCCAGTTTCATTCATGTTTCTGCACAGGACATCGTCTCATTCTTTTTTTATGGTTGTATAGTAATCCATGGTGTATATATATCAGGTTTTCTTTATCCAGTTCACCATTGATGGGCAATTACATTGATTCCATGTCTTTGCTGTAATGAATAGCACTGCAGTGAACATTTGTGTACATGTGTCTTCATGGTAGAATGATTTGTATTCCACTGAAAATAAATCCCAGTAATGGGATTTATGGGTCAAATGGAAATTCTGTTTTAAGTTCTTTGAGAACCGTCCAATGTGCTTTCCACAGTGGCTGAACTAGTTTACATTCTACCAGCAGTATATAAATATTTCCTTTTCTAGACAACCTCGTCAGCATTTTTTTTCTGTTTTGACTTTTTAATAATAGCCATTCTGACTAGTATGAGATGGTATCTCATTGTGATCTTGATTTGCATTCTTTTAATGATTAGTGATGTTGAGTATCACTTTATATGCATTTTGGCCATACGTATGTCTTCTTTTAAGCGGTATTTGTTCATGTCTTTTGCCCATTTTTTAATAGAATTGTTTGTTTGTTGCTTGTTGATTTGTTTAAGTTTCTTATAGATTCTGGATATTAGATCTTTGTTGGATGCATACTTTGAAAATATTTTTTCCATTCTGTAGCTTGTCTGCTTACTCTGTTGATAGTTTCTTTTGCTGTGCAGAAGCTCTTTAGTCATTAAAGTCCCATTTGTCAATGTTTGTTTTTGTGACAATTGTTTTTGGTGTTTTTGTCATGAAATTATTGCCAAGGCATATGCCCAAAATGGTATTCCCTAGGTTTACTTCTAGGATTCTTACAGTTTTAGACTATATATTTAAGTCTTTAATCAATCTTGAGTTGATTTTTGTATATGGTAAAAGGAAAGAGCCTGGTTTCAATCATTTGCATATGGTTAGCCAGTTTTCCCAGCAACATTTAATAAGGAATCTGTATTAGTCCATTCTCATGCTGCTGTGAAGAAATACCTGAGACTGGGTAATTTACGAAGGAAATGGGTTTAATTGACTCATAAATCCACAGGCCTGGAGAGGCCTCAGGAAACGTACAATCATGGCGGAAGGGGAGTCAAACATCATTTTTCACATGGCAGCAGCGGAAGTGCCAAACACAAGGGGGAAAAGCCATCATATCTTGTGAGAGGTCACTCACTATCACAAGCACAGCATGAGAGTTACCACCCCCACGATTAAATTACCTCCCACCAAGTCCCTCCCATGACATGTGGAGATTGTGGTAACCACAATTCAAGATGAGATTTGGGTGGAGACACAGCCAAACCAAACTATTTCACCCTTGGCCCTTCCCAAATCTCATGTCCTCACATTTCAAACATAATCATGCCCTTCCAACAGTCCCCCAAAGTCTTAACTCATTCGATCATTAACTCAAAAGTCCAAGTCCAAAGTCTCATCTGACACAAGGCAAGTCCCTTCCACTTATGAGCCTGTAAAATCACAAGCAAGTTAGTTACTTCCTAGATACAAAGGGGTACAGACATTGGGTAAATACACCCATTCCAAATGGGAGAAATTGACCAAAACAAAGGCCATGCAACTCCAAAATCCAATAGGGAAGTCACTAAACCTTAAAGTTCCAAAATTATTTCCTTTGATTCCATGTCACACATCCAGATCACACAGATGCAAGAGGTGGGGTCGCACAGCCTTGGGCAGCTCTGCCCCTGTGGCTTTGCAGGGTAAAGCTCCCCTCCTGGCTGCTTTCGCAGCCTGGTGTTGAGTGTCTGTGGCTTTTCCAGGTGCACAGTGCAAGCTGTTGGTGGATCTACCATTCTGGGGTCTGGAGGATGGTGGCCTTCTTCTCACAGCTCCAGTAGGCAGTGCCCCAGTAGGGACTCTGTGCGGGGGCTTGGACCCCACATTTCCCTCCTGCACTCCCCTAGCAGAGGTTCTTAATGAGGGCTCTGCCCCTGCAGCAAACTTCTGCTTGGACCTCTGGGCATTTCCACACATCTTCTGAAATCTAGGTGGAGGTTCCCAAACATCAATTCTTGACTTCTGTGTACACACAGGCCCAACAACACATGTAAACCACCAAGGCTTGGGTCTTGCACCCTCTGAAGCAATAGCCTAAGCTGTACTTGGCCCCTTTTAGCCACGGCTGGATCTGAAGCAGCTGAGACACAAGGCACCATGTCCCAAGGCTGCGTAGAGAAAGGGGGCCTTGGGTCCTGTCCATGAAGCCATTTTTCCCCACAGGCCTTCAGGCCTGTGATGGGAGGGACTTCTGTGAAAACCCCCAACATTCCCTGGAGACATTTTTCCCATTGTCTTGGTGATTAACGTTCAGCTCATCATTACTTATGCAAATTTCTGCAGCCAGCTTAAATTTCTGTCTAGAAAATGGGGTTTTATTTTCTGTCATATTGTCAGACTGCAAATTTTTCAATCATTATGCTCTGCCTCCTCTCGAATGATTTGCCACTTAGAAATTTCTCCTGCCAGATACCCCAAATCATCTCTCTGACGTTCAAAGTTAGATCTCTAGGGCAGGGGCAAAATGCTGCCAGTCTCTTCACATAGCAAGAGTGACCTTTATTCCAGTTCAAGAAAAGTTCCTCATCTTCATCTGAGACCACCTCAGCCTGGACATCTTTGTCCACATCATTATCTGCATTTTGGTCAAAGCCATTCAACAAGTCTCTAGGAATTTCCAAACTTTCCCACATCTTCCTGTCTTCTAAGCCTTCCAAGTCTCTAGTAAGTTCCAAACTTTCCCAGATTTGCCTGTCTTCTTCTGAGCCCTCCAAATGGTTCCAACCTCTGCCTGTTACACAGTTCCCAAATTATTTCCACATTTTCAAGTATCTTTACAGCTGTGCCCCACTCTGTGGTACAAATTTATGGTATTAGTTTGTTCTCATACTATGAAGAAATACCTGAGACTGGGTAATTTATAAAGGAAAGAGGTTTAATTGACTCACAGTTCCACAGTACTGGGGAGGCCTCAGGAAACTTACAATCATAGTGGAAGGGGAAGCAAACACATTCTTCTTTGCATGGTGACAGCAAGGAAAAATGTTGAGTAAAATGGGAGAAAGCCACTTATAAAACCATGGGATCTTGTGAGAATTCACTCACTATCATGAGAACAGCATGAGAGTAACCACCCCCATGATTAAATTACCTCCAACCAAGTCCTTCCCATGACACATGGGGATTATGGGAACTATTACTCAGTATGAGATTTGGGTAGAAACATGACCAAACTGTATCAGAATCCATTCCCCATTGCTTGTTTTTGTGACTTGGTTGAAGATTAAATGGCTGTAGGTTAGTGGCTTTATTTCTGTGTTCTATAATCTGTTTCATTAGTCTGTTTGATTTTGCATGAATCCATACTCTTTTGTTTACTGTAGCCTTGTAGTGTAGTTTGAAGTCAGATAGTGTAATAGCTTTGTCTTTTGTTTGTTTGCTTTGGATTTTGTTTTTTGTTTTTGATTTTGATATTTGTTTTTGTTTTTGCTTAGAAGTGCTTTGGCCATTTAGGCTCTTTTTTGGTTCAGTATGAATTCGAGACTAGTTTTTTTTTTCTAATTCTGTGAAAAACTGGGAGTTTGATAGGAATAGCATTGAATCTTTAAATTCTTTGGGGCAGTATGGCCATTGTAACAATATTGATTCTTCCTGTCCATGTGCATGGGATGTTTTTCTATTTGTTTGTGGTATATCTGATTTCTTTCATCAGTGGTTTTTAAATCTAGTTGTGGTGATCTTTCAGCTCCCTTGTTAGTACTCTAGGTATTTTATTCTATTTTTTTGTGGCTATCATAAGTGGGACTGTGTTCTTGACATGGCTCTCAGCTTGGATGCTGTTGGTGTATAGAAATGCTACTGATTTTTGTACACTGATTTTGTATCCTGAAACTTTCCTGAAGTTTTTTTCAAATCTAGGGGCTTTTGGGCAGAGACTGGGGTTTTGTAGGCATAAAATTATGTCCTTGGCAAAGAGAGATAGGTTGACTTCCTCTCTTCCTATTCGGATGCCTTTTATATTTTATCTTGCCTGATTGCTCTGTCTAGGACTTCCAGTACTATGTTAAATAGAATAGACAAGTGGGCATCCTTGTCTTATTCCAGTTCTTAAGGGGAATGTTTCCAGCTTTTCCCCGTTCAGTATAATGTTGGCTGTGGGTTTCTCATAGATGGCTCTTATTATTTTGAGGTATGTTCCTTCAATGCCTAGTTTCTTGAGGGTTTTTAATGTAAAGGGATATTTAATTTAATCAAACTCTTTCATGCATCTGTAGAGAAAATCATGTGGTTTTTATTTTTAGTTCTGTTTATGTGATGAATTACATTTATTGATTTGCATATGTTGAGCCAACCATGCATTCCAGGTATAAAGCCTACTTGATTGTACTGAATTAGCTTTTTGATGTGCTGTTGGATTCAGTTTGCTAGTATTCTGTTAAGAAATTTTGCATATATGTTTCTCAGGAATACTGGCCTGAAGTTTTCCTTTTTGGTTGTGACTTTGCCAGGTTTTGGTATCAGAATAATGCTGCTTACATAGAATGAGTTAGGGAGGAGTTCCCCTTTCTTAATTTTTGGAATAATTTCAGTAGGCTTAGTACCAGTTATTTTTTATATGTCTGGTAGAGTTTGGCTCTGAATCCATATGTCCCAGGGATTTTCTGGTTCATCACTAATTCAATTTTAGAACTAGTTATTAGTCCATACAGGGTTTTAATTTCTCATTTTTGTAAATTGATTTTGTATCCTGAAACATTACTGAAGTTATTTATCAGATCTATGAGCTTTTAGGAAGAAACTAAGGAGTTTTATAGCTATAAAATCATATATTTGGCAAAGATAGATAGTTTAACTTCCTCTCAATCTTGGAAGGTTTAATCTTGGGATTGAATCTTGATTCAGTCTTGAGAGGTTGCATGTTTCCAGGAATTTATTCATTTCTTCTAGGTTTTCTAGTTTCTGTTCAAAGAAGTGTTTGTAATAGCCTCTGAGGATTTTTTTGTTTTTATTTTTGTTTTTGGTATTTTTGTGATGATGTCACCTTTATCAATTCTAATTGTTTTTATTTGGATCTTCTTTTTTTTCTTTATCAATTTAGCTAGCAATTTATCAAACTTATTTATTCTTTGGGAGAAACAACTTTTGGTTTTCTTGATCCGTTATATGTTTTTTCTCATCTTAATTTGATTCAGTTCAGCTCAGCTCTGATTTCAGTTATTCACTTTTTTCTGATAGCTGTGAAGTACTTTGGTTTGACTTATTTTTCTAGTTCCTCTAGGTGAGATATTAGATTCTTAATTTGAGATACTTCTTAACTTTTTGATATGGGCACTTAACACTATAAACTTTCCTCTTAACACTGCCTTAGCTGGGTCCCAGAGATTCTGATATCTTGTATCTTTGTTTTCATTAGTTTCAAATAATTTATTGATTTCAGACTTAATTTTATTATTTACACAGAAATCATTCAGGAGCTGGTTTTGTAATTTCCATGTAATCCTATGGTTTTGAGTATCTTCTTAGTATTGATTTTTATTTTTATTGCACTGTGGTCCAAGACTGTAGTTGGTATAATTTTATTTTTTTTAATTTGTTGAGAACTGTTTTATGGCTGATCATGTGGTTGATTTTAGGTTATGTGTCACATGCAGAAGACAAGAATATGTATTGTTGTTGTTGGGTGGAGTGTTCTGTAGGTATCTGTTAGGACCATTTGGTCAAGTGTCAAGTTCATGTCCTAAATATCTTTGTTAGATTTCTGCCTTGATGATCTGTCTAGTATTGTCAGCATGGTGTTGAAGTCTTCTACTATTATTGTGTGGTTATCTAAATACCTTTGTAGGTCTCTAAGAACTTGCTTTATGAATCTGGTGCTCCTGTGTTGGGTGCATATACATTTAGGATTGTTAAGTCTTTTTTTTTATTTATTATTATACTTTAAGTTCTGGGGTACATGTGCACAACGTGCAGGTTTGTTACATAGGTATACATGTGCTATGTTGGTTTCCTGTGCCCATCAACTCATCATTTACATTAGGTATGTCTCCTAATGCTATCCCTCCCCCAGCCCTCCACCCCCTTACAGGCCCTGGTGTGTGATGTTCCCCTCCCTGTGTCCATGTATTCTCATTGTTCAACTCTCACTTATGAGTGAGAACATGTGGTGTTTGGTTTTCTGTTCTTGTGTTACTTTGCTGAGAATGATGGTTTCCAGTTTCATCCATGTCCCTACAAAGGACATGAACTCATCCTTTTTTGTGGATGCATAGTATTTCATGGTGTATATGTGTCATTTTCTTTATCCAGTCTATCATTGATGGGCATTTGGGTTGATTCCAAGACTTTGCTACTGTGAACAGTGCTGCAATAAACATACGTGTGCATGTGTCTTTATAGTAGAATGATTTTTAATCCTTTGGGTATATACCCAGTAACAGTATTGCTGAGTCAAATGGTATTTCTATTTCTAGATCCTTGAGGAGTCGCCACACTGTCTTCCACGATGGTTGAACTAATTTACACTCCCACCAACAGTGTAAAAGTGTTCCTATTTCTCCACATCTTCTCCAGCATCTGTTGTTTCCTGACTTTTTTTTTTTTTTTTTTTTTTCTGAGATGGAGTCTTGCTCTGTCACCCAGGCTGGAGTGCAGTGGCACAATCTCAGCTCACTGCAAGCTCTGCCTCCCAGGTTCATGCCATTCTCCTGCCTCAGCTTCCCGAGTAGCTGGAACTGCAGGCACCCACCACCGTGCCCGGCTAATTTTTTTGTATTTTTAGTAGAGACGGGGTTTCACCATGGTCTCAATCTCCTGACCTTGTGATCCGCCCGCCTCGGCCTCCCAAAGTGCTAAGATTACAGGCATGAGCCACTGTGCCCGGCCTTTCCTGACTTTTTAATGATGCCCATTCTAACTGGTGTGAGATGGTGTCTCATTGTGGTTTTGATTTGCATTTCTCTAATGATCAGAGATGATGAGCTTTTTTTCACACGTTTGTTGGCTGTATAAATGTCTTCTTTTGAGAAGTGTCTGTTCATATCCTTTGCCCACTTTTTGATGGGGTTGTTTGCTTTTTTCTTATGAATTTGTTTAAGGTTCTTTGTAGATTCTGGATATTAGCCTTTTGTCAGATGGATAGATTGCAAAAATTTTCTCCCATTCTGTAGGTTGCCTGTTCACTCTGCTGATAGTTTGTTTTGCTGTGCAGAAGCTCTTTAGTTTAATTAGATCCCATTTGTCTATTTGGGCTTTTGTTGCCATTACTTTTGCTGTTTTAGTCATGAGGTATTTGCCCATGCCTATGTCCTAAATGGTATTGCTTAGGTTTTCTTCTAGGGTTTTTATGGTTGTAGGTCTTACATTTAAGTCTTTGATCCACTTTGAGTTAATTTTTGTGTAAGGCGTAAGGAAGGGATACGGTTTCAGCTTTCTGCTTATGGCTAGCCAGTTTTCTCAACACCATTTATTAAATAGGGAATCTTTTCCCCAGTGCTTGTTTTTGTCAGGTTTGTCAAAGATCAGATGGTTGTAGGTGTGTGGTGTTATTTCTGAGATCTCTGTTCTGTTGCATTGGTCTGTATCTCTGTTTTGGTACCAGTACCATGCTGTTTTGGTTACTGAAGCCTCGTAGTATAGTTTGAAGTCAGTTAGTGTGATGCCTCCAGATTTGTTCTTTTTGCTTAAGATTGTCTTGAATATATAGGCTCTTCATCCCCATCAAGCTACCACTGACTTTCTTCACAGAATTGGAAAAAACTACTTTAAATTTCATATGTTAAGTCTTTTTACATTGAACCCTTTATCATTATGTAATGTCCTTCTTTGTCTTTTTTGATCATTGTTGTTTCAAAGTCTGTTTTGTTTGAAATTAGTATAGAAACACCTGCTCTTTTTTGTTTTCCATTTGCCAGGTAGATTTTTCTCCATCCCTTTAGTTTGAGTCTATGGGCTTCATTGCATGTGACATGAGTCTCTTGAAGACAACATAGAGTTGGGTCTTGGTTCGTTATCCAGCTTGCGACTCTGTGACTTTTAAGTGGGGCATTTAGCCCATTAATGTTCAAAGTTGGTGTGGATTTGGCCCTGTCATTATTTTTTTAGCTGGTTATTTTGCAGACTTGATTGTATATTTGCTTTATGGGGTCAATGGCTTATGTACTTAAGTGTGTTTTTGTGGTAGCTAACAGTGGTCTTTCATTTCCATGTTTAGCACTCCATTATGGACCTCTTATAAGGCATGTCCAGTGGTAATAAATTTCCTTAGCATTTCTTTGTCTGAAAAAGGTCTGATTTCTCCTTCACTTTTGAAGATTAGTTTGGCTGGATGTGAAATTCTTGGTTGGAATTTCTCTTTTTTAAGAATGTTGACTATAGACCCTCAATCTCTTCTAGTTTGTGCTGTTTTTGGTGAAAGGTACACTGTTAGTCTAATGGAATTCTGTTTGTAGGTGATGTGCCTCTTCTCTCTAACAGCTTTTAATACATTTTTTCTTTAACATGGACCTTGGAGATGACCATGTGTCTTGAAGATGGTCATCTTGTATAGTATCTCTGCATTTCCTGAATTTGAAAGTCAGCCTCTTTATTGAGGTTGGGGAAATTTTTGTGGACAGTATCCTCAAATATGTTTTACAAGTTTCTTGCTTTTTGTTCCTCTATTTCAGGAACATCAATGAGTCCTAAGTTTGGTCTCTTTACATAAACTCACATTTCTTGGAGGTTTTGTTCATTCTTTTTAATTCTTTGCTTTTTATTCTGACTCGGTTCATTAAAAGAACTGGACTTCAAGCTCTGAGATTCTTTCCTCAACATGTTCTATTCTGTTGTTAATCCTTCTGATTGTCTAATGAAATTCTTGTAGTGAGCTTTCAATGTATCAGTTCAGTCTGGTTCTTTCTTAAAATTACTATTTAATCTTTCGGCTTTTGTACTGTTTTACTGGATTTCTTAAATCCCTTGGATTGAGTTTTGAAATTCTCCTGAATCTCGATGATCTTCCTTCTTATTTATATTCTAAATTCTACACATGTTTTTTCAGCCATTTCTGTCTGGTTAAAAACCATTGCTGGGGAAATAGTATGGTCACTTGTAGGTAAGAAGACACTCTGGCTTTTTGAGTTGTCAGCATTATTATCTTGTTTCTTTCTTATTGTGGGGTGTGGGGGAGTGGGGCTGATGTTATTTTAATCTTTGAAGTAGCTGTTCTTTCTATAGGGTTTTTGATTTTATATTTTTTCACGACCTTGATGGGTTAACTGTGTTATAAGGTGGGTTCAGATGACAGGCTTCATTTCTGGAAGAGTGCAGGAGTCCAAGGCTCGGTTCAGCACTCCTGGGTTACATATTCTAATCCTACAGGGCTGGTACTATGCCCACGGCTTTGTTCTCCGGACACTTGTGGTTAAACACCTGCTGCCCTATAGTGGCTAGTGTTTTTCTGTTCCACTGGCAACAACATTCCAATAGGGAGGTGTTCCCACTTTTTGCTTTAGATTTCTTCCAAGATTATTGAAATGACCTTCAACATTCTGGTCTTCTCATTCATTTCTTATAGAAACCATGTTCCTGAAGTTTTTCTGCATCACATCTCTATAGAGAATCTTCTGAGAAAAATTAATCAAATACTAGTCCTCCTCACCAAAGTTCACTGCCGCAACTTCAAAGTCCACTGAGTCCTCAATGTCCTTGCAGAAGTTCCAGAAATTAGGATCCCTGGGAACCATTTTGGCAAGTCCCTCCCATGCTTCCTCTGCAAAGAACTGCAGGGCACAGGGCAATGGAGGCTGTGGCAGAACCACTTGGGCCTCCCAAACTGAAGAAGAAGAAGGAGCAGTGGAAACTGACCAAGCAATAGAATTCTGAATATTTTCAATCTGCAATTGGTTGAAACCATAGATGTGGAAACCACAATCTGCAATTGGTTGAAAAAACAGATATGGAAATCATGGTTACAGAGGGCCAACTCTACCAAAAGGATATCAGTATGTCAAAGAAATGTCTCCTTTTATATGTTCATTGCAACATTATTCACAATAGCCAAGGTATGGAAATAACCAAGGCTCCCATCAAGGATGAATAAATGTAAAACTGTGGCATTTATGTGCAATGTAAAGAACATTAAATTAGCCTTTAAAAAGAGTAAAATTCTGTCATTTCCAACAACATGGATGAACCTGAAGGACATTATATTAAGGTAAATATACAGTGTGCAGAAAGACAAGTACTGCATGATCTCACTTGTCTGTGAAATCTTAAAATGTTGAGTCATGAAAGTATAAAGTAGAATAGTAGTTAACAGAAGTGGTGATGGGGAGTGAATGGAAGGCACAGACAGAGAAAGGGGGCAAAGGTTCAGTTAGAAGAAAAAATTTCTAGTGATCTATTGCATAGCTGGTGACTATAGTTAATAATAATATATTACATATTTTAAACTTGTGAAAAGAGTAGATTGTAAATATTCTCACCACAAAAAACGATGGATATTTGAGGTGACAGATATGTTAATTCACCTAACTTGATCAATCTACAATGTATGTGTTATTTCAATATCACATTGTACCCCATAAATATATATAATTATTATCTGTCAAATAAAATCAAGCAATTAAAAAAAAAAGAAGCCAGAGGAAATGAATACATATATTGGCATAGTTCAGAACCAAGGCTCTCTATGTGAGAGAAAGACATAGATAAGGGATGTAGGAAAGAAAGAAGCCTGTGAATGGTTTTGGACTTTGAAATTCCAACATGAATACAAGGCTTTCTTAGCTCTGATCACTGAAAGGGCCTAGAAGCAATACCAATGAACATTCAGTGCCCATGTTTTGGTTACCTATCACTAAACAGGAGGACAAGAGGAAAATTACTTGAGAAATGGTAGAGTCCCGGACTGGTTTCTGAAAAGTGCAAGTTAAAGTAAGCCCGGAATACATTTTGGGCATGTAGTAGCAAGGAAATACTCTAAACCTGAAGAGGAAATATCACAGGACCAGAAGACAGCTTAAAGGAGTTTCTTCTGATGGCCCAATCTAAAGCATCAAAAATAATAATTATATCAATGAAATATTACAAACTGAATGTGTGTGTATGTACATGCTTATATGCAGACATTTGTGCAAGTGCTTGTGTGTGTGTGTGTTTTAGGAAAAGCTGTTTTTCTAAAAAAGAATCATGTATAATTAATGTAGAAGGAATGATGGATTAAAAATTATCTCTTGGAAATCACAGAAGTAATCATTGATGTAGAAAGAAATCATCAGCTGATGCAAAAACTAATTGTTGGGAAACAAGATATTCACATAGTCTCCATGATTTCTTATTAATATATTATTTATTAAAAATACAAAAAGATATGTCAACAATCAAGAAATCTGCCAGATGCCTCATTCAAGCCTTCGAAATTAAAAACTTCCAATATTAGAACACATCGACACTTTCTGCTGCCTCCAATGACACTGAGAAAGACACATCACCTGTTTAATTTTATTCCCCAAAATATTTAACTTGATATGATAATAAAATGTAATGACGAGGTACTATGATGGTTAATATTGAGTGTCAACTAGATTGGATTGAAGAATGCAAAGTATTGAGTGAGTCTGTAAGGGTGTTTTCTTTTTTTTTTTTTAGTTTTTTTTTTTAATTATACTTTAAGTTTTATGGTACATGTGCACAATGTGCAGGTTAGTTACATATGTATACATGTGCCATGCTGGTGGGCTGCACCCATTAACTCGTCATTTAGCATTAGGTGTATCTCCTAATGCTATCCCTCCCCACTCGCCCCACCCCACAACAGTCCCCAGAGTGTGATGTTCCCCTTCCTGTGTCCATGTGTTCTCATTGTTCAATTACCATCTATGAGTGAGAACATGCAGTGTTTGGTTTTTTGTCCTTGCAATAGTTTGCTGAGAATGATGGTTTCCAGCGTCATCTATGTCCCTACAAAGGACATGAACTCATCATTTTCTATGGCTGCATAGTATTCCATGGTGTATATGTGCCACATTTTCTTAATCCAGTCTATCATTGTTGGACATTTGGGTTGGTTCCAAGTCTTAGCTATTGTGAATAGTGCCACAATAAACATACGTGTGCATGTGTCTTTATAGCAGCATGATTTATAGTCCTTTGGGTATATACCCAGTAATGGGATGGCTGGGTCAAATGGTATTTCTAGTTCTAGATCCCTGAGGAATCGCCACACAGACTTCCACAATGGTTGAACTAGTTTACAGTCCCACCAACAGTGTAAAAGTGTTCCTATTTCTCCACATCCTCTCCAGCACCTGTTGTTTCCTGACTTTTTAATGATTGCCATTCTAACTGGTGTGAGATGGTATGTGATTGTGGTTTTGATTTGCATTTCTCTGATGGCCAGTGATGATGAGCGTTTCTTCATGTGTCTTTTGTCTGCATAAATGTCTTCTTTTGAGAAGTGTCTGTTCATATCTTTGCCCACTTTTTGATGGGGTTGTTTGTTTTTTTTCTTGTAAATTTGTTTGAGTTCATTGTAGATTCTGGATATTAGCCCTTTGTCAGATGAGTAGGTTGCAGAAATTTTCTCCCATTTTGTGGGTTGCCTGTTCACTCTGATGGTAGTTTCTTTTGCTGTGCAGAAGCTCTTTAGTTTAATTAGATCCCATTTGTCAATTTTGTCTTTTGTTGCCATTGCTTTTGGTGTTTTAGACATGAAGCCCTTGCCCATGCCTATGACCTGAATGGTAATGCCTAGGTTTTCTTCTAGGGTTTTTATGGTTTTAGGTCTAACGTTTAAGTCTTTAATCCATCTTGAATTAATTTTTGTATAAGGTGTAAGGAAGGGATCCAGTTTCTGAATTAATTTTTGTATAAGGTATAAGGAAGGGATCCAGTTTCAGCTTTCTACATATGGCTATCTAGTTTTCCCAGCACCATTTATTAAATAGGGAATCCTTTCCCCATTGCTTGTTTTTGTCAAGTTTGTCAAAGATCAGATAGTTGTAGATATGCGGCGTTATTTCTGAGTGCTCTGTTCTGTTCCATTGATGTATATCTCTGTTTTGGTACCAGTGCCATGCTGTTTTGGTTACTGTAGCCTTGTAGTATAGTTTGAAGTCAGGTAGCGTGATGCCTCCAGCTTTGTTCTTTTGGCTTAGGATTGACTTGGTGATGCAGGCTCTTTTTTGGTTCCATATGAACTTTAAAGTAGTTTTTTCCAATTCTGTGAAGAAAGTCATTGGTAGCTTGATGGGGATGGCATTGAATCTATAAATTACCTTGGGCAGTATGGCCATTTTCACGATATTGATTCTTCCTACCCATGAGCATGGAATTTTCTTCCATTTGTTTGTATCCTCTTTTATTTCGTTGAGCAGTGGTTTGTAGTTCTCCTTGAAGAGGTCCTACACGTCCCTTGTAAGTTGGATTCCTAGGTATTTTATTCTCTTTGAAGCAATTGTGAATGGAAGTTCACTCATGATTTGGCTCTCTGTTTGTCTGTTATTGGTGTATAAGAATGCTTGTGATTTTTGTACATTGATTTTGTATCCTGAGACTGCTGAAGTTGCTTATCAGCTTAAGGAGATTTTGGGCTGAGACGATGGGGTTTTCTAGATATACAATCATGTCGTCTGCAAACAGGGACAATTTGACTTCCTCTTTTCCTAATTGAATACCTTTATTTCCTTCTCCTGCTTAATTGCCCTGGCCAGAACTTCCAACACTATGTTGAATAGCTTACCAACCAAAAAGAGTCCAGGACCAGATGGATTCACAGCTGAATTCTACCAGAGGTACAAGGAGGAACTGGTACCATTCCTTCTGAAACTATTCCAATCAATAGAAAAAGAGGGAATCCTCCCTAACTCATTTTATGAGGCCAGCATCATCCTGATACCAAAGCCAGGCAGAGACACAACCAAATAGACCAATATCCTTGATTAACATTGATGCAAAAATCCTCAATAAAATACTGGCAAACCAAATCCAGCAGCACATCAAAAAACTTATCCACCATGATTAAGTGGGCTTCATCCCTGGGATGCAAGGCTGGTTCAATATACGCAAATCAATAAATGTAATCCAGCATATAAACAGAACCAAAGACAAAAACCACATGATTATCTCAATAGATGCAGAAAAGGCCTTTGACAAAAGTCAACAACCCTTCATGCTAAAAACTCTCAATAAATTAGGTATTGATGGGATGTATCTCAAAATCATAAGAGCTATCTATGACAAACCCACAGCCAATATCATACTGAACGGGCAAAAACTGGAAGCATTCCCTTTGAAAACTGGCACAAGACAGGGATGCCCTCTCTCACCACTCCTATTCAACATAGTGTGAGGGTGTTTTCAAAGGTGATTAACATTTCCGTCAATGGGCTGGGAAGGCAGATCCATCCTTAACTTGGGTGGGCACTATCTAATCAGCTGCTAGTGAGGCCAGGATACAAAGCAGGCAGAAAAAAAAATGTAAAAGCCGCAGTCTAGGAGGCTAGACTGGCTTAGCCTCCTAGCTTACATCTTGCTCCCGTGCTGGATGCTTCCTGCCCTCAAACACCAGACTCCAAGTTCTTCAGCTTTGGGACTGAGACTGGATTCCTTGCTCTTCAGTTTGCAGACAGCCTGTTGTGGCACCTTTTAATCATGTGAGTTAATACTGCTTAATAAATTCCGCTTGAAACTGTATATGTGTGTGTATATATATGTATACATACCATATATACAGAGGAAATATATATAAAGGATAAATATGATATATAAAGGATAAATATGATATATATATCCTATTAGTTCTGTTCCTCTAGAGAACCCTCACTAATACAGATTTTGGGAGCAGGAGTGGTTCTAGAGGAACAGAATATTAAGGATGGAGTATTTTCATTGGTTTTGGGGTTTCTGGAGTTGGCTGCTTAATATGATTAGACCCAAAAAAAGCTAAGGACTCTACTTCCAATAGCATGGAGAACACTGATAGTCCTTGGCATGAACTGTTTAAAGAGTTATGCAAAATAAATGCATTTGACAGTCTTGATTCACTGCTCATGAGAGGCAAGGAGTTTTGTGACTCTATACATAATACCTTTGACTTTACGTGGAAAGCCAAGGAACATAATGAAGTTGGTTGGTTGCTCCTAAGTTCACTGGACAAAGTGAGGAAAGAAAATTATGAACTCAGGGATTCTATCTCCTGGCTTCAGAAGCAGATACTGAGCCTCAAATCTGCTAAGATTGCCCTGAGGGAAAGTCTTATCACCTGTAGAGAAAGAGCTGAAATTGTGAAAAAAAAAAACAGACACAAGCTCTTATCGTGTGAGTGGCTAACCTGCAAGAAAAGGTGCATGCTCAGCCTCATCAGTTGTCTACTATTAAAGTGAAGGCATTGATTGGAAAAGAATGGGACCCTGCAACTTGGAATGGGGATGTGTGGGAGGGCCCTGATGAAGCTGTGGACACTGAGCTTGTAAATTCTGATGAAACTTATTTTTGCCAGAAGAAACAGCTTTCCCATGCCTAGTAGTAGCAACCACCCCTCCCAGACCTATGCTGCCATCAGCTTTTCCACCTTTGTCTGAGGGTATAAACCCTGTGCTGCCCGAGACAACAGTGGTGGCCTCCCCTGAGGCAGTTGCCAGGCAAGACAATGTTGATTCTCCACAGGACCCACCCCCAACAGCCCTGTTTGCTTCTAGACCTATAACTAGACTAAAGTCCCAAATTTAATGTTGCAGCTTGAGGAGTTAAAAAAATGTCCTAATAGTTTATTTGCTTGTCTAGCTGAAATATGGATTAAATGGTGTCTCACTGCGAGTGAGCTTAAAATGCCTGATTTCCCTTGCTTTAATGTAGAGAAAGGGATGCAAAGGCTTAGGGATGTTGGGACATTGGAGTGGATTAGTCACTTTAGACCTATTCATCCCAGCTGGGAGGGTCCAGATGATATACCCTTGACCAGTGCTTTGCAAAATAGATTTGTGAGGGCAACACCTGCATTTTTGAAGAGCCCTGTAATTGCTTTTATCTGTGCGTCAGATCCAACCATGGGGACCACGGTCACACAACTACAAAATTTAAATACAATGGGGCTGGTCAAGGTAGCTTATGCCTATAATCTCAGCAGTTTGGGAGGATGAGGTGGGCAGATCATTTAAGATCAGGAGTTTGAGACCAGCCTGGCAATATGGTGAAACCTCATTTCTACTAAAAATACAAAAATTAGCCAGCCATGGTGGTGGGTGCCTATAATCCCAGCTACTTGGGAGGCTGAGGCAGGAGAATCACTTGAACCTGGGAGATGGAGTGCAAGTTGCAGTGATCCGAGATCACACCACTCCACTCAAGCCTGGGTGACAGATTGAGACTTTGTCTCAAAAACAATAATAATAATAATAATAATAATAATAATAAATAAATACATACAATGGGAATAATTGGATTCCTAGGTGGCAGGGGCCAAGTGGCGTCACTCAACAGTCAACGGCAAGGTGGTTGTAGCTACCATAATGGACAGCATAGGCAAAGCAGCAATCAGAATGGTTTGACTCTTGTAGAGCTCTGGCATTGACTAATTAATCATGGTGTTCCTAGAAGTGAAATTGATAGGATGCCTGTTGCATTTCTACTTAATTTATATAAGCAGAAAACTTTCAGGTTGAATGGAAAAAAAGACTAATTTGAATTATAAAACAGAGTATAATGGCCTCTCAGTCAGTTTCCAGACTTTAGCCAGTTTACAGACCCAGAACCCCTTGAATGAAGGGGAGGCCGGGGTCCTCTTGAGGAAGGACCCCCTATAGTACCGACAATTTATGCTGTTAATCTTTCTTCCTTCCCCAAGAAGACCTCCAGCCTTTTACCAGGGTAACTGTGCACTGGGAAAAGGGAAATGATCAGACATTATGGGGACTGCCATACACTGGCTATGAGCTGACATTGATTTCAAGGGACCCAAAACATCACTGTGGTCCTCCAGTTAAAATTGGGCTTATGGAGGTCAGGTAATTAATGGAGTTTTAGCTCAGGTCCAACTTACAGTGGGTCCAGTGGGTCCCAGACTCATCTTATGGTCATTTCCTCAGTGCCAGAATGCATAATTAGCATAGAAATACTTAGCAGGTGGCAGAACCCCCACATTGACCCCTTGACTGGTAGAGTGAGGGCTATTATGGTGGGAAAGGCCAAATAGAAGCCATCAGAGCTGCCTCTACCTGGAAAACTAGTAAATCAAAAGCAAGATTGCATCCCTGGAGGGATTGTGGAGATTAGTGCCACCATCAACGACTTTAAAGACACAAGGGTGGTGAGTTCAACCACATCCCCATTCAACTCTCCTATTTGGCCTGTACAGAAGAGAGATGGATCTTGGAGAATGTCAGAGGACTATCATAAGCTTAACCAAGTTGTGACTCCAACTGCAGCTGCTATATGAGATGTGGTTTCATTGCTTGAGCAAATTAACACATTTCCTGGTACCTGGTATGCAGCCATTGACTTAACAAATGCCTTTTCCTCCATTCCTGACCATAAGGCCTGCCAGAAGCAATTTGCCTTCTGCTAGCAAGGCCAGCAATGTACCTTTACTGTCCTACCTCAGGGGTGTATCAACTCTCCAGCTTTGTGTCACAATCTTATTCAGAGAGGCCTTGGTTGCTTTTCACTTCCGCAAGATATCAAGCTGATCCATTACATTGATGACATTATGCTGACTGGATCATTGAGCAAGAAGTAGCAAACACACTGGACTGACTGGTGAGACATTTGTGTGCCAGAGGATAGGAAATAAATTTGACTAAAATTCAGGGACCCTCTACTTCAGCAAAATTTTTAGGGGTCCAGTGGTGTAGGGCCTGTTAAGAGATTTCTTCTAAGGTGAAGGATAAGTTGCTGCATTTGGTCCCTCCTACAACCAAGAAAAAGGTACAATGCCTACTGGGCCTATTTGGTTTTTGGAGGCAACATACTCCTCATTTGGTTGTGTTACTCTAGCCTGTTTATCAAGTGAACTGAAAGGCTTCCAGTTTTGAATGGGGTCCAGAATGAGAGAAGGCTCCACCACATGTCCAGGCTGCTATGCAAGCTGCTCTGTCACTGGGGTCATATGACCCAGCAGATCCAATGGTGTGTGAGGTGTCAGTGGCAGATAAGGATGCTGTTTGGAGCCTTTGGCAGGCCCCCCATAGGTGAATCACAGCGGCGGCCTCTAGGATTTTGAAGCATGGCCCTGCCATCTTCTGCAGATAACTACTCTGCTTTTGAAAGACAGCTCCCGGCCTGTTACTGGGCTTTGATTGAAACTGAATATTTGAATATGGGTCATCAAGCCACCTGAACTGCCTATCATGAACTGGGTGCTTTCTGACCAATGTAGCCATAAAGTGGGTCATGCACAGCAGCGTTCCATCATCAAATGGAAGTGGTATATACGTGATTGGGCTCGAGCAGGTCCTGAGGGCACAAGTAAGTTACATGAGGAAGTGGCTCAAATGCCCCTGGTCTCTGCGCCTGTTACCCTGCCTTCTCTTCCCCAGTCTTCACCAATGGTCTCATAGGGAGTTCCCTATGATCAGAAGGCAGAGAAAGAGAATGCTAGAGCCTGATTCACAGATGGTTCTGCACAATATGCAGGCACCACCTGAAAGTAGACAGCTGCAGCACTACAGTCCCTTTCTAGGACATCCCTGAAGGAGAGCAGCGAAGGGAAGTCTTCCCAGTGGGCAGAATGTCGAGCAGCACACTTTGCATGGGAGGAGAAATGGCCAGATGTGTGATTATACACTGATTAATGGGCTTTAGCCAATGGTTTGACTGGATGGTTAGGGACTTGGAAGAAGCATGATTGGAAAATTGATAACAAAGAAATTTGGGGAAGAGGTATGAGGATGAACTTCTCTGAGTGGTCAAAAACTATGAAGATATTCATATCCCAAGTGAGTGCTCACCAACGGGTGACCTCAGCAGAGGAGGATTTTAATAATCAAGTGGATAGGATAACTGGATCTGTGGATACCACTCAGCCTCTTTCCCCAACTACCCCTGCCATTGCCTAATGGGCCCATGAACAAAGCGGCCATAGTGGCAACTGTGGAGGTTATGCATGGGCTCAGCAACATGGACTTCCACTCACCAAGCTGAACCAGCTACGGCCACTGCTGAGTTTGCCAATTTGCTCAATTTGCCAGCACCAGAGACCAACATTGAGCCCTCGATATGACACCATTCCTTGGGGTGGTCAGCCAGCTACTTAGTGGCAGGTTGATTATATTGAACCTCTTCCATCATGGAAAGGGCAGAGGTTTGTCCTCTCTGGAATAGACACTTACTCTGGATATGAGTTTGCCTATCCTACACAAAATGCTTCTGCTAAGACTACCATCTGTGGACTCATGGGATGCCTTATCCACCATTATGGTATTCCACACAGCATTGCCTCTGACCAAGGCACTCATTTTACAGCTAAAGAAGTACAACAGTGAGCTCATGCTCATGGAATTCACTGGTCTTACCATGTTCCTCATCCTTCTGAAGAAGCTGGATAGTTAGAGCAGTGGAATAGCCTTTTGAAGTCACAATTGCAATGCCAACTAGGCGACAATACTTTGCAGGACTGGGGCAAAGTTCTCCAGAAGGCCATGTATGCTCTGAATCAACCTCCAATATATGATACTGTATCTCCCATAGCCAGGATTCACAGGTCCAGGAATCAAGGGATGAAAGTGGAAGTGGCACCATTCATGATCACCCCTAGTGATCCACTAGCAAATTTTTGCTTCCTGTTTCCATGAAATTATGTTCTACTGGCCTAGAGGTTGTAGTATCAGATGGAGGAAGGCTGCTACCAGGAGACACAACAATCATTCCATTAAACTGGAAGTTAAGATTGCCACCTGGACACTTTGGGCTCCTTCTACCTTTAAGTCAACAGGCTAAGAAAGGAATTACAGTGTTGGCTGCGGTGATTGACCCAGGCTATCAAGATGAAATCAGTCTACTACTCCACAGTGGAGGTAAGGAAGAGTACTCATGGAATACAGGAGATCCCTTAGGGTTGCTCTTAGTATTACCATGCCCTGTGATTAAGGTCAATGGGAAACTACAACAGCCCAATCTAGGCAGGGCTACAAATGACCCAGACCCTTCAGGAATGAAGATTTGGGTCACTCCACCAGGAAAAAAAAACCACAACCTGCTTGCTAAAGGCAAAGGGAATACAGAACAGGTGGTAGAAGGTAGTAATCAATACCAGCTATGACCACGTGACCAGCTGCAGAAACGAGGATTATAAATGTCATGAGTATTTCCTCCTTCTTTTGTTAAAAACATGTTTGTGCATGTATACACTTGTACTTAAAACAGCTTCATTTTATTTTCTTCTTCCTTTATCATGTGACATAAGATTTATTTATTTCACTTCAGCACTTAAGTATTGTTAACTTTATGGAATAGCATTTGATTGGGGATTGGTGCATTTCTGGTTGTACAAAGGAGAGTTGTATTAAGTTTGATGTAATTATGACATTATTGTCTTTATTTGAAGGTGATGTATGATCTCTGGAGATGTGCATGGGTTCAAGTTGACAAGAGGCAGACTTGTAATGGTTAATACTGAGTGTCAACTTGATTGGATTGAAGGATGCAAAGTATTGATCCTGACTGTGTCTGTGAGGGTACTGTCAAAGGTGATTAACATTTTAGTCAGTGGGCTGGGGGAGGCTGACCCATCCTTAAATCTGCACGGGAACCATCTAATCAGCTGCCAGTGAGGCTAGGATATAAAGCAGGCAAAAAAAAAAAAAAAATGTGAAAAGGCTAGACTGGCTTAGCCTCCCAGCCTACATCTTTCTCCTGTGCTGGATGCTTCCTGCCCTTGAACATCAGTCTCCAAGTTCCTCAGCTTTGGGACTCGAACTGGCTTCCTTGCTCCTTAGCTTGTAGACAGCCTATTGTGGGAATTTGTGATCGTTTGAATTAATAATACTTAATAAATTCCTTTATATCCTATTAGTTCTTTCCCTCTAGAGAAGCCTAATACAGGTCGTATTCAGACAAATTCAAGTATCAGACAAATGGTCTGAAATTTTTGAAAAATATCAACACCAACATCATGAAAGGCATAAATGGAAGGGAGTGGCTCTTCCAGATAAAAGGAGACTACACCTAAATTCTATGCTTTATATATCACTGAAGTCTGAATGTTTTATAAAAGTTATGAAGAACATTATTAGGAAATTTAATTTTTTCTCAAAATAAACTATATCTTACTGTATTATTATTAATTTCTTTTGGTTATTGTGGTGGAGTTATAGGACTACATTTCTCACCACTACTAAGTATTTTATGTTGTGTTTGTGAATTATTACAGTTCTGTCATTTTCTCAATGTGATCAATAAGCAAGCATTTATTTAGGGCCACAAGGGGATTCTGGGGCTTAATGACAAATCACAATAATTCAGAATTATATACCAAAAAATGGCAAATTCTATGGTATGACAAGTGCTTTTATATATATATACACACATATGCATGTCACTGGATATATGTGTGTGTGTGTGTGTGTGTGTGTGTGTGTGTGTGTGTGTATCTCACTGGAGATTCTATTAAAAGGCAGATTCTGATTTGGTGGGTTAGCAGTGGAGCCTGAGAGTCTGCATAATGTACTATGGGCCCTTGGATCGCCAGTTTAATAGCAAGGAGTACAGACTGAAAGAGCTCTAACATAAATAAATTATAAAGAATTGGAGTAGTTAAGAAAGCCTTCATAGAATAAAAGAATCTTGATATTTTTACTTTTTTCAAAAATGAAGGGGCAAGGTGTAAGACAGAAAGTTATAATAACTGTTCATTTCTTCATTCTTTACCTCGTGTATCTTCTCAGCAGCTGGCATGTAAAAGACACTATGTGCAACAGTGAGGGCAGTGTTTTGATTCATTTTAGTGTCTCTCACAGTGTTTTATATAAAAGATGAGTTCAGTGAATATATTTATTGAACCCAATTTAATTTATGGCTAGGGAATAACCTGGAAAGGGAATTAGAGAGAGAAATTATCATGATGCATTTGTGGGTTGGTAAAATAAATAGTTCCAACTCCAGAGAAGCTTAATGTGCCTGGAAGGAGAGGGTGAAAAAAGATTATGAAACGTCTTGAAACAATAACAGAGAAGTGCGCATTTTGTGTAGTTGAAGTTTTCTAAATTGCGAAATAAGATTCTAAAAATAATGTTATAGGACATTTATTCTGGCAACAAAAAACAGTCTTGATTGGAGAGGTGCAAAGTAGCCAATGGGAACCTGCAGCATAATCCAGAGCACCTGGCTCTCCTAATTTACCAGTCTTCTGGCTTCAATCATTTCCTTTGCCATTTTCTTTTTGGTCTATATCAAAGATTGAGGAAACTAAGTGTCTTCTAATTCCAGGACACTAGGTCATTAGTAAAGATGAGACCTTGGTCATCTTTTTTCTTTGTCCATATCAAAGCTCTTATATGCATAGCTGATATATTTTTAACCTTTTACAACTATCTTTTAAAATCAACTTCTTGTCTGAATTGTTGATAAAAATTCAAGCTGGGCAATTATTGAGGCTAGCCTTTTAGTTACAAACATTTAAAATCCTCCATGGGTTACATTTAAACCTGTTAGTAAATATTCACATGCAGATTGTGAATAATTTCTTCCTCTCCATGTTTGCATTTTCCTTTTCTGAACATTGTCTTTTGATGAACCAAATTGTTTTTAAGAATAATTTATCCACTTTTTATCCATACCCAATAAAATATTGGAAATTGTCTAGAGACTTTGGAAAGGAAAATACAGATCCTTCCCTAACAACCCTCAGAAGGAACCAACCTTGCCAACACCTTGATTTGAATTTGTATGCTTCAGAACTGTGAGATGATAAAGTTCTGTCTGTAAGCCACCTAGTTTGTTTTCCTTTGTTACTGCAGCCCTAGCAAACAATAAAATACAATTTGTGTGCATAAAAGAAAATAATGACCTAGAGAGATTAATTAACTCATCCAGGGGAATACATCCAATGATATCAGAACTTGTTCTCAAACTCATTTATCTCTGATTGTGAAGGCCTTGCCCTTAACCACTGTACTACATTGAAGAAGTGTAAATAGTTAATAAACACATGAAAATAAGTTAATCCTCACTAAATGATATTTTAAGAAATGATTTGTCTTAATTTCATATCAATAGAAAACTATTTAAATACTAACTACTGCTTGGTAGATGGTTTATTAAATTGATCACTATCTCTTATTGTTATTTAGAGTAGAAATTAACACAGACTCATTTATGGCATTTGATAAGTTGGCAATATAAATATATGAAAGTCCTTAGACATGTTTATCATTTTCACTCAGAAAGGACTTATTTTTAAATATCAGTAGAACTGGGTAAAAAGTTTATCACTGCAATATGGTTACTAGTACCAAAGTACTGAAAACATTCAAAATGATCACACATAGCGGAAGGTTTAAACAGATTATAGCACATTCATATGATGGAATTTTATGTGGCCATTAAAATGAAGATGTAGAAAAAAGTTTTTAAAGAAATACCAAATATATATATTTTTAAATGTTATTGGTAGAAAGTTTTAATTTTCATGAAAGAAGTGAGAAATATATAGTAAGATTTAACAGATGTTAAATTTTACAGTTTGAAATTTTCTAAATTGGGGAATAAGATTTTAAAAGTAATGTTTTAGGACAATTATTTATTTATTATTTAGTCTCAAAGATTATTATATCAAAAAATAACACTCAACGGATAGCTTTAAGAACATTCACACCACTCTCCTTTTTTCTGTCCTCCTTTTCTGGTGGTAAACCCTATCTTGAAACTGTTATGTTTGTTTTCTGTGTTGTATATATAAAATAATTTTGAATTTTAGGATTACATAAATGGTTTCATACTCTAGTATCAGCTTTTCTATTCAATTGCTTTCAAGTTGAAAGGCAAAATATATCACTTCAATGAAGCATTTAAATTTTCTTTTCCACTTAAGAAAGTATGTTACAAAATATATACAGGATGATACAACTGTGTACATATATTCTCATGTATTTATGCATAGGCAACAATATGAATAATTGTAAACAAAAATCTTATTTTGTTTAGTTCTGAATATTTTCTTCTTCAAACTATGAACTGTTCATATTTTTTAAAAACAAACATTCCTTGTGAAATTATATATATACATATATATGTAATTTCTGTTCACAACTCTAAAGAATCTCATTCATAAATCAAGAAATATGCAACATGAAGAAATTATTCACCCATTACTATTCTGTAGAAGAAAGTGATGCCTAAATTTTAGTCTCCAAAATAAACTTTAATTTATAAGCTGAAGTGATTTAAACATATATGAAACCTGTATCACCATATATCATCATAATTTATTTGTGGAAATAAGTTAAAAATGGGACACATTAGTCCACTAAAGAAATAGTTATAAAGAGAAACAAAATGTTCAAGTAAATATAAGGAAAGTATGGGCAAACCTAAAAAGTAATGTATAGTTAAGAGAAAATGACATTAAACATCTGACTTTATTAATAAGATAGTAAAATGTTTCAAAAGTGTCAACCCATGAACAGAGACTTGGAATAAGAAAATAAAATGATTTTAATTATCATGGTGTTTATTGAAATAAGATAGTGAGTTATCTGATAAATCCCAGAAACCTCTCATTTGTGTGGTAAAATGTAACACAATGGCCTGAGAAGAGCCTGCAACAGCTCAAGGAGTCTAGACGGCAGCTTTTAGGGCACAGAGCACAGTGGTGCCCTGGAGGACAAGGACAGTTTTTTTGTTTGTTTGGAAGCTCAGTGTTGGGCCACATAGTTCTCTCTGACTGTATCTTCCATCAACTCCCCTTTTCGTTCAAACTTTCTTGTACCAAAAACACAGTAAGCAAATGTCTATCTAGCTCATGCCTTGGCACTTATTATCTCTACCATTTCAAATACCTCTGGCTTCAGATACAAGACGGATTGAATTCCTTATGGTGAAGCAGGTTCACTGTGCCCCAGTATCAATTCCAGAGGAGGACTGTAAACACCTCACCAATACCATGGACTGGTTTTAATTCACTTGTGTGAGTTCAGTGGAACAGCACTCATACAAACAAGTTAAGTGAAGCAACTTCTCACTCACAGAGAAGTAGTAGGGGACAGTAAAAGCCTAAGACTAATGGCCAGCTGTTCAGGAAGGCTGTCCAGGGCAGATGGAGTCTTTTCTGCATGTGTCTCACATTGTGCTGCAGGTGAGAGACCCTGAAAACATTCCTCGCTGGGTTTTACACCCCAGAGTACCTTATGCATTGGGCTAAATTGTTCTGGGGGTACAGGAACAGAGCTTGGGCTCTTCCAGCCACTTCCCCTTATCTCAGGATGTTGCATCCACAGCATATTCTACAGTTATTCTACCAACTTCAAGGAAGAAAAAGGGTGGGGAGCCTGGTCAGCCAAGGTCACACAGAAACTGTCCTGCACTCACTACTTTGGGTCTCTTCTCAAAGACCACAGAGGCCTTTCTTGACCACTTGTAAAAAACAGCTGACCCCACCTTCTCCGTCACTCTCTACTCCTCTACGTGGGTTTACTCATAATCATAGCACTTAGCACCACATGGCATATGCATCTAGAGATCTGAGAACTTTTCTATTCTGTTCATTGCTGTATCACAGGACCTAAAATAATGCTTGGAACATAATGGATGCTAAACAAATATTATCAAATCAGTGGTGAATGTATAGGGTATAATAAAGGGAATGGAATTCTAAGTTAGATTTCAGTCTATTTGGAGCCTATCCATAGATCCCATGCTAAAGTGTCTCTTTTCCGAAAACAGGTATATTCTTTCCTATTAAAACATTGTATTTGGAATTTTTAATTATCTAGTAAAATAAAACAATTTAAAACATTTAAAATTTCGTATGTCTTCCAATGATCTCTAAACTATAAAAATGCAATTTGCATTTTATATTTTCAAGAGGATTTATAAATAGGACACATTTTTCCTAGTGTTAAATTACAAATTTATGAAAATATTAAATTAAGAATAATGTAGAGTCAGTGTTTATAAGAATTAGAATGTGGACAAAAACTAGCGAATGGACTGTAGTAACAGAAAAGGATGAATGACCTGGTTTACCTTCCTCAAAAGTAAATGCTATTTCAAATTATCTTATAAAAGACTTTATTATGGTATATTTTACAAATCAGTCTAAAGGACTTGTCAGCAGGAACAGGAATAATGAGTTTTCTTCAGATTACAATGAAAATATACCTAATGGAATTTACTATCTGAGGGGTCAAATAAACATAAGTTGTCAGGAGAGAAGGAAAAGGAAAGAAAGTCTCTATGTGCTATCTCTATCATGTCCATCTCAGACATTTGGCTAAAAGACAGAGTAACTTAGGCATATGTGGAACACTTGCTTGGTGATGAAATTAGGCTTCAGATTTCCAACAGTGTTGGATTCAGTGTGCTAGTTTCCAGCCTACTCTGCCTGCAGAATTTTCCATGTAAGGCTTTGTGGACCCTATAGCTTCTGTCACAAGTACTTAACTCTGGCTTGTAGCTCCAAAACAGCCATAAATAACATATAAGTGACTGGGCATGGCTGTGATCTGCTACAGTTATTTACACAAATATGTTGCTGGTCAGATTTGGCCCAAGTTTGCTAATTCCTAATCTATAAACCGGGAATAATAATGCTGTTCTTGTTTGTTTGTTTGTTTGTGTTTCACAGAGTTGATATAAGTGATCAAATACATGTGAAACGACTACTTCATAAACTATAAATTGTGAAACTCTAACATGATGTTCATTAGTATAAATGATGTTGTAACCTTAGACTTCATTACATGAGATATTTTTATGTTGAAACAATATTATGCTTCAGTACCACAGAAAATAACTTGACTTGCTTTCATGAGATCCCTGATTCTAAAATCTGTTCTATAATATCAGAATACAGAAATCTGGACTTCTAAATTTATCTTTGAGTAAAACTTTGATGCTTCAGTTATGGAGAGTATATGAAACAAACACATCACTGTATTTTATTTGGTTAATGAAAATCAATAAAAATGTAGGATTAAATTATAAGGAAAATAAAATTGATGACATAAAATTAATGATGTAAAGGATGACATACTTTTTTACTGTGCTACCTTAAGGAGATAGAATGTTCTGAAATGAATTTCCATCAAGTACTAAGAGATGATGCTATCCATTTAAATAGATTTTAATTCATTCTAAATTATAATTGAAATACAAAGCACACAAGATGACCACATTAAAGAGTCATTGTTGAGCAAGATGGAGCTTGATGGCAGTTTTGCTGTCTGCTTGGGAATGCTGAGCAGAGACAATGGCATTTCTGCTAGAAAATCTGGGAGAGCACATTTTATGGACATCTCTGAGGAGCAATTAAACTAACTGAATTCAATTAAAAATTGGCTTTAAACCAAGAGGATATGAACTTAGCCAGGAGAATAGAGTGATGTATTAAAAAAAAAATGAAAAACCCTAGACTTGGAGGCAAGATGTAGAGGATTGCACTGATTCTTTCAGATGCTATCTACAATAAGATTGTGTTATTGCTATAATAGCAAATCATTTTAATAAGCAAAGACCTTTAGGAATAATTTCCAGATCACTGCTTCAAGAGCTGAACTAAGGAGATGAGTATGAACGTAGCCAAAGTATTTAGTTTTGGAAATGGCTTTTGCACCATTTAAGTTATTCTCTCTTTCTGGTTACAATTTCTTTAACAGATGCTAGATATACCTTAATCTTTCTATATAATACATAGAAAACTACCTATAGTTTTCTAAGTTAATTATTTTGATTCAGTTTAATACCATAATTAATGTTTTCCTTGTCTGACTGCTCTTTGCATTAGCCTTGTCAAGATACACATAGTATAAATATGCAGTTGACCTGTGATCAACATGGGTTTGAACTGTGCAGATCCGTTTATATGCAGATGTTTTTTCAATAAATATATCGAAAGAATTTTTGGAGATTTGTGACAATTTGAAAAAAAACTCAGATGAACCATGCAGTCTAGAAATACCAAAAACAGTAAGAAAAACGTATGTCATTAATGCATAAAATATATGTAAATACTAGTCTATATGTTAATCAAGTGTGTATATAATCTGTAAAGATTCTAGTCAACAGTAGGTTATATTAGTAGTTAAGATTTGGGGCATCAAAAGTAATGTATGGATTTTTCACTGCTCTTGTGTCAGTGCCCCTAACCTGCACATTGTTTAGGGGTCCAATTGTATAAGAAACAGTAATCTATGAAGACTATCCCCAGAAGACTGTCCTCCTATTATAAACATTTAGATGCATGAGTAACAAGAATTACAAATTATCTTCTTTTTATGTGAAATTTACTACTAAATAATGGTTTGGACATCTAAAACCATGAAATGGAGAGTGTGTGTTTCTTACTAGATATTTTTAATTTATCTATTAAATAAATGCTAATGCTTGAGTTTGAACATGTGGACCCAGTAGAAATGCTTGTTTCTAGGATGGTTAATAATAAACTATCTGGTTTCATATTATTTGTAAAAATATTATTAAAATAATATAAATAATTATTTGTTAGAATTAATTGCTAGATATATTAAAGAGATACTGTGTATAGAAAAATGGTGTTACCACCGTTTATTGCTAATTGTAGTAGCAATAAAATATATTACTCACTAATGTGAACCATGAATTGTGTTAGCATTTTAGTTGCATTTTTTTCACTTATACATCATAATAAGTTTAGGAAGTAGGTGGTATTATTATTTCCATTTTATATTTAAGGAAACTGACTATGATTGGCTGGGATGGTAATCAGTACTAATACTCCTTACGATTAATTCCACAACAACTGTCCAATGTGAGGACTATTTATCCCACTCCACCTTACTGTTGAAGAAATCAAGTTTCAATAAAAGTTAAAAACCTTAAATGAGTAAGTGGTAATACTACAAATTAAACCCAGGATTCTAATTTCGGAATTAACCCTCTTAGCCAAGATGATACGCAAAATATAATCAGCAATATCAATACCAATGTTGATATTGATTTATTTATGCAGTATTTAAATTAATTATAGCTGGCGCCATAACGTTTCTCAGGGAGGAAATAAATATCTTTGGAAAAATGCATTAGTGGGTTGCTTGGCAGTGTGATTTGATGACAGAGGTACAAGGATTACAAGAGAAGATAAAATAAATTTTTGCTCATTTTTTCCTGGAGGAAATGAGAAGAAATTGGAGAAAAGAATATGGAAAAGAAAAAGGGCTATAATTAAAGAAAATTTTAGGAACATGAATGTCTAATGTGCAATGTCAAATTGTGTGTTGAGGGGTTTGTAATTTCCACAAGTATGAAATTGGGTTTTTTAAGCATTCTTATTAAGATATCAGGAGACATAGAGAACTCCTATTAATATCATTATCTATCTATCTATCTATCAACATCATCATCTAGATAGAAATGGAATGCTTATGTTAAAAAGAAAGAGTAAATTAAAGTGTCAAATTTGTCAAATGGATGATATAGGAATTTGATCAAAATTTAGGTTTGTTAAACCTAGAATCTGGTTCCATTTCACATTCCAACAGACATGAGGAAAATATACAAGTTGGAAAGAAACCTCTTTTGATATATTATTCCAGATCTTATATGCTGTTTAGGTATCAACATCAATTTTCTTTACCTAACAGGAGAGCTGATCTGATTCTAAAATTTCTATTGAATTCTAATGGAATTTCACAATTTTTTATGAACTCCATGGGCATAGATGTGAGAATTTGATGTCTTTGCTACATAGTGATTATTTACAGAGACTCAGAAGAATAAGATGTATTTGTCCCACAACATGTATAATCTTCTCTCCCAAAGTTTCCAGTCCTGTTTTCTTTTTGCATTAAAGTAATTGACAGAATCCACAAATTTTAGGAAATGAAAATACTGGTAGTTGTAACAAATTAACTCTTACACATAATAACTGCCTAGAAAGAATGTTGCAATTTAGTAACACATAGTAATGATCCTAGAACACCACTTAACACATTTTGAAACTTCAGTGCCTAATAACAGCTATAGAGTTTAACCTTAAATTTTAATTTTTATGATCTAAGTTTTTAATGATGATTACAATCTGCTCTTTACTGTAAGCACATGACAGAAATTTAATTTTCTAATTACTTGAGACTTACTACAGAAACACTCAATTATACTGCCAAAGTCATATGCTGTAAGTGTTTTTCAGAAGGTTAAAAGTAGTCTGACATTAGCTAGAAATGTTCACCTCAGAATAAAACTTTACATTCAATGCCTCTTTCAGCAAACTTTTAATCATGTAGATTGAAATAAACATGAAATTGTTATAGTTAACACATGTCTTGACTCCATTATTTTGCCACTCTTGAGAATTAAGGTGATTACTATTAAATAATCAAGAATGAAAAGTAGGTTTACAGATTCCAGTACTACTTTCTCATTTCTGTGAGTACTTTGATATTTAATAGATATTTTGAGTTTATTATTTCTATTTTCACAGAAAGAAATCAAATTTTGAATTTAAAATTCTAACATTTTTCCTGAATTATGGGCTAATTTTTCATTACCCAAGTTTGATTAAATAAAATTCTTTGACATAATTCGGGATATATCTGAATGCTGGTTTTATATGTCACTTATAACTAGGCATTATATTCAGAAATAAGGACAGATTTGTGTTTTAAATGTTACTTGTAAAATCATAAATCAACCCTATCATATACATAATATCTTTGAAATCAATTTAAACATGTTCAGAACTTACAGATAACCAGTCAGACTCCTGGTTATCTCTAAGTTCTGAAAAGTTCTCATAAAAGTTAGTGCCTCAAGACAACTGCTTAATGCATATATATATATATGCTCTTTTTAACTTTGCTGAGTGCTTGATATATTTGATAAGGCAAGTAGTGTCTAGGCTAAATGAAATGAAATGAAGTAGTGTCTAGACCATTGTTACTATGTGAAATATAGAACCATTTTCTTTCACTCCGCTCAGTGCTATCTCCAATATTTCAGATCAAAACTTTCCTTTGCCTTAAGAACAGGAGCTTTTCGTATTTGTCTTTACTTCCTCTGTGTTTAACCCAGAGTCATACGATATGCTTGTCAACAGCACTAATAGTTACCACTTCTTAAAGTTCCTTTGACTTCTGCCACTGTATTTGGCATTTCCTATGTTATTCTTAATCTTTATATTAATAATATAAAATAAGCAGTATTATCCTAATAATTCTTTTTTAAAAAATACTAAAATTTGGTGTAAAATGATTTGTCCAAGTCTACAAAGTCATAGGAGGCTGGGTCAGAATTCAAACTTTGGTCTGTCTCAAAAGCGATACTGCTTCACTACTGTGTTTTGGTTGTCTTTGCACTGTGGGCCATGATAATCTCCTTTGAGATTTCACATATGGCATATGTGCTGCTGGAACAAAAGCATAACACATATTCTTCTTAAATGAATGCATTAATAACATTTTATTAGTTCTATGAATAGCTCTTTCACTTCCATGAAGTCCATTTATAATTTTAATTAATTAATTTCAAAGGAATTAGATTGCCTCCCTGAGTATTCAATTGTACTCATCAACACTTCCAGTGGTTATAAGATGTTTGATCAACTCTCTATCTGGGCCAAGATAAGACAAGGTAATCAGAGTGGCTTCATATCAATTGAAGGGTGCCTACTATAAGCAGTTCTAATGCAAGTCCCAGGAAATAATGCCTATATCTTAACAAATAAGAAAAGATAATACAGCATAAATTTGTTCAAGTAATCTAATATAATGATTAAAAAAAGTACTCCAGAGAAAAAAATAAATAATTATCTCACTTAGGAATTTAAAGAAAAATATATCAAATATAAATGGTTTTGAAAATGTGAAAAAGTAACAGACCATCAAAACCTGGATTCTCATTTCAACTTGGTCATTACCTCTCTGGGTAATCCTGGGCTGTTCACTCTTGGTGACTTGTGTCTCAGTTTCCTTATCTATAAACCAAGGACCTGAAAGCATATCATTTCTCAAACTTGTCTGATCATAGGAATCACATGTGGTTATAGTTAAAAATATAAGCCTAAAAAGCCGAAAGAATCAGAATCCTCGTGGAAGGATGTCAGGGTGTGCATATTTTAGTAAACACACCAGTTTACACTGATGATGGAACAAGTTCAAGAAACACAGCAGTAAATTGTTGCTATAGAATGATAGAGAGTGGATAAATGGAATGATTCATCATTGCCAATATTTGGGCTTAATTTAGATTATTTTTCCTAATTTATAAGTTAGTTTTGAAAAAATTGGCTTGGTATATATTTCGTTGTTACCAAGGGCCCTGAAATGAGGACAGCATGCAAAATGAAATTCTGAGTCAAATTAAAATACAGTTGCATGTGTGAAACATGAAATTCTTCCTCTTTTATGCCTCCAGTTATTCAGAAGGTAACATTTGTTCAATGAGGATACTTCATTCGTAGCCTATGGGGAAACTGAATAAACTGATCTGGAGCTGCATTTTCTTATCTTAATGACAGATTAAAGTGAAGGTTTTATTATTTCTAATTCAGTTTGATTCAAGAGAGGCACAAAGGGAAAAGGATTAATAAAATGCATGTTGAATCCCTTTCCCTTTCCTATAACAAAGATGTGAAGATGCATTCAGATAATTGATATCAAATTACCAGTTTGTTTTTCTTTTTAAGTCACTGAGTAATTGCTTTATAGTTAATGTCCTAAGGATTAAGATGTCACCTGAGTGTTATGCCCGCAATCCGGGCAGCATCAACTTCGCAATAATACTTAATGGGCTCTAGGACATAAAGAAATTATTTCAGATGTTGACATTGAAAGAGCCAATTAAGTAGGTCAGATGGCTTTAAAATAAAGAACTTTTTGAGAAGCTATTTACCAATTTTCCCCTTAGGAAAAGCAATTAAGATCATAGAAAGACAGTGTTAATATAGAAATGACGAATCTGCTTGAGATTTAATCTTCAATAGTAAAATCAAAGAAAAACCTACTATAAAATTGTCTTCTCCATAATTGAGACTGTCAAATTCTCCATAGTATTAAAAATTAGGCATATATAAAAAGGACTTTGGTAAACAAATTTCCCCCCAAAAGGCTTGAAATTTTTGATAAAACATTTTATCTTAGGCCAGGCACGGTCTCTCATGCCTGTATTCCCAGCAATTTGGAAGGCCAAGGCAGGTGGATCACGAGGTCAGGAGTTCAAGCCCAGCCTGGCCAAGATAGTGAAGCCCCGTCTCTACTAAAAATACAAAAATTAGCCAGGCGTGTTGGCGGGCACCTGTAATCCCAGCTACTCAGGAGGCTGAGGCAGAGAATTGCTCGAACCTGGGAGGCGGAGGTTGCAGTGAGCCGAGATCACTCCACTGTACTCCATCCTGGCCCACAGGGTAAGACTCTGTCTCAGAAAAAAAAAAAAAAAAAAAAAAAAAAAACTTCAAGAAATTTTGTTTAAATATTAAAAGAAAATAAATTTCTGAAAATGCATAATATATATAAATCTTATTAATTATGATGAAAATAATACAAGTCATTTGTATCAGTAGAAACCCTTATTCTAAGATTTTTTAAAAAAAGGATATTAGAATGAGAGAAGCCCACATAAAGAAGGATAAAACAAGTAAAAAATTTCAAATGTGTAAAAATAACAGGAAGTGTGAAAAAAGTTCTGCCTTCATGGCACAGAATGTTTAATGATATAAGAAAACAGGAGGAAACATAACTCAGTTCCTGCTTTGATTCCATCTTCAATCAAAAAAGAATTATTTTTCACTTTGAAAGCATGGACCAACAATGTTTAAAAGTAAAATAATACCCAAGAAATCAAGAAAATGAAAGAATCCTTAGGTATGTTATCATTTTTTCAAATGTCCTGGTCTAGAAAAATTACATCACAGTATACTTAAAGAAAGTATAAGTGTTCTTATTAAAGTATTTCCAACTACGTTTGAAAAATCTTGGAAAATAGGTGGACACAGGAAACAAATAGTAGTAGGTGATAAATACGGGCTTTATTTTAAATGGGAAAAGGGGCTGAATTCTAGAAATCGTGCTTTATTAAATTTAATAAACTTTAAATTTAATAGTGGTCTCTGTAAAAATTATGGAATATGTTACAGAATAGGTGGTTTGTGAATTTATAGAAAACAAAATGGGGATAAATAGAAACCAGCCTGGCTATACTAAGAAATAATACTATTAATCTAACAACTACTGCTAGGGATGTCACAGAGCAGAATGTTGTAAGCATAGTACATATGCTTCTTCTTCTTACAAGGTATTTGAAATAATCTCTCATGTTCCTGAAGAAAGGAAAGATAAATATGGATTGTTTGATTAAATAACATTCTATAACAACTAAAAGGATCTCAATTAGTGAGCTAGAAAAACAATATTTATCAAGTGCTGTCCAAAGGCTGATATTATGGGATAAGATAATATTCCTGCCCTCTAGAAGTTTGCATTATAATGGAGAAATGTTTCTAGTTGTATGTCACTGACACTATGTTGAAACAGTGGCCACTGACTTGGAAATCACTTCAGATATGCAGATGTCATTGATTATGGAATAATACCTAACATATTGAATGATAGAATCCAGCAAGAAGATGTCAATGAACAGAGTGTACACCACATATCACACATTCTTTAATATTCCTTTCATTGAGAATGGTGACTACATTAAGAACTAGTGATTTTTCAGCTCTCTCCCTCCCAGCCCAGCCCCCCTCCACCAGCACCTTGAAGCTGAACAAGCTTAGTGACTGTTTGACTAAGAATAATGTCAGACATGAATCTGTACCAATTTACAGACCTAGGTCTTAAGACACTGACAGATTTCTTTTCCTACATTTTCGAACACTGACTTATGAAAGACAGCTGCAATGCTGTGTGGAAGAGCAAGCAGCCCTATAGAATGGCCTGTGTAAAGAGGTACTACATCCCCTGTGTTACGGCTCCTACTGAGCCCCCAGCCAATAGCTAGTGCCAAATGCCAGTCACAGGTGGAGCTATCTTGGACATGGACCCTTCACACCCAGTTTATTCAAGATGACCCTGAAAGACAGTGTCAAAAGACAAGCTATTCCAACAGAAAAGGACTCCCCAGATTGCATATTTGTGAGACAAATAAATTGTTATTTTCTGTCGCCATGTTTTGTGTGTGTCTCTCTGTGTGTGTCTCTCTCTCCCTTCTCTCTCTCTCTTGCACACTGTCTCTCAAGCACACACACACACACACACATTTAAGATCACAAATTCAATTGTATAAAGTAATAAACACTTAATTCTAAATATAAATAAATATCTAGATCAACGTATTTTAACTAACTGTCACTTGAATATGAACCAGCAGTGCATACAGCAGATTCACTAACAGAGACTCTTATCCAGATCCAGTCATTCTCCTTATACCTAACCATTGACACATTCTATTAATTTTGCCTCCAAAGGTCTCTTGGACACTTCTCTTCTTCATCCATACTGATGCCACCATTTTCACTTATGTAACAGTTTCCTGACTTGAATCTTCACATTCACTCTTACCTCTCTCAAATCGCTCCTCCGACTGAAATGAAAATTAGTTGTTAAAATGTGTAAATCTGAGTTAGTCTCTGTTTACAATCCTTTCAATCATATTATTATTATTACAAAGACTCACTGATTTTTTTTTTTTCCCTGAGATGTAGTTTTGCTCTTGTCGCCCATGCTGGCATGCAATGGCGCAATCTCAGCTCACTGCAACCTCCGCCTCCAGAGTACAAGTGATTCTCCTGCCTCAGCCTCCCGAGTAGCTGGGATTACAGGTGCCCACCACCAAGACCAGCTGATTTTTTATATTTTTAGTAGAGACGGCGTTTCACCATGTTGGCCAGGCTGGTCTCGAACTCCTGACATCAGGTGATTCACCTGCCTCAGCCTCCCAAAGTGCTAGGATTACAGGCGTGAGCCACCGTGCCCGGCCAAGACTCACTGATTTTTATCCTAATATTTAGCAAACAATTTATCAGAAATGTTGTCAATTGCCACTGACCTCTTTGTCCTTTTTATTCCCTCACCTTAACTTTCTTTACCTAGAATGTGTTCCACTTCCTTCTGCCTCAATTTTTTTGTACACTCTGTTCCCTTTGATGAGCATGACTAAATTTCATTAGTATCCTTCGAATTGCTGGTCAACCGTTACGTATTCAGGTAAATAAATGTTCTCTGCCCTTCCATACTAGGTCATCCCCTCTGTTCCCACAAACAAGACTCCACACCTCTCACAACTTCCTTTGTCTCTTCTCTGAGACATTTGACACACTTGCCATTAATAATTATCTGGTGGCTTGCTGTTCATTGGCTCTCACTACAAATACAAGGCATTCATCAGAAGGGCAGGGACTCTGTGTTGTCGTTTCAGTTTCCCAAACACCTTACAACTATCTTATATGGTGTAAGTGCTTATTAATTATGTGTTAAATATGTAAATGATCAGTTGACTTCAGGGATTTGAAAGCCTTATTCTCCTCATATGAGACATTCATCATTATAAATTCACAGTTTGGCTACATAGATGCTCCCTGTTTATTTCTCTGGATTGAAGAAATAAGGGTATTACAACCATGCTGAGCAGCTGAAATCTGGAGTATTTTGTTTAATTGTGGCATCAAAGAACTGTGACAAGCTAAGATCAATTGAAAACAGTCATAAAGATGAAAAGTCTGGAGACCATGTCACCTGAGAAATTTCTCAGGAAATCAGGAATTTGGTACAGGGAAGAGAGAACTCTAGCTGAGTTGTTATGCAGGAATACGTGAGCTGTTGGAATAGATATTTCTCCAATGGACACAACTAATACCCATATATAAGATTTACCATGTTGTTCAACCCATTTATTCACTAAAGACCTAGGAAGCACTCACCATGTGTCTTGCACTACTTTAGGCAGGAGTTTGTAATGATGGAGCTAACACACTCATAAAAAACAAAAAGATGAAGACCAATTAAATAAAAATTGGTAACTAGTATAAAACAGATAGGCCCCAGTGTGTGATGTTACCATCCCTGTGTCCATGTGTTCTCCTTGTTCAACTCCCACTTATGAGTGAGAACATGCACACGTATATATCTATGTAACAAACCTGCACGTTTGCACATGTATCCCAGAACTTAAAGTATATACCTGAGTAAAAAAACAAAACAAAGCAGATAAGTACCTTGAAAGAGAACATAAGGAGAGATCACCATAGATTGGGTGGTTAAAAAAAAAAATTAAAAAGCTCCAAAAAGGGAATTTTCAAGATGAAATCTGAGGCATGAGAAGCGGGCAGGTCAGGCCTATAAAGTTTCTCCTAGCAGTAGAAAAGGGGAAGTGTATTCCAGGTAGAATAATTCTGACATTGGAAGATTGTAAGGAGATAAAAATGTAGCGTCCTCGTGACTTAGAAAAAGGTGAATGTAGCTTGGGCATTATATGTAAGCAGAAGTGTGACACAAGATGAAGTTAGAGAGAGGAGCGAGAATCAGATGAGGTAGGGCACTGTCGGTCACGATTAAAAGTTTGGATTTTATTATTTGTGCTACGTGAGAAGTACCTGGAATTAAAATGTTTTTCCATTTGATTTTAAAGGGATACGTTTTTGAAGTATAACTTATTAGAGATAGATTAACAAAGAATATTGAATGCCAGGTAGAATAGACTAAGCAAAAACTACGTACATCACACACACACACACACAAAAGATAACAGTGAAAAAAGAAACAACTGGTTAGGTTTGAGATCTATGTATTGCAGTTATATCATGAGCTGAATTGTGCCCATCTCTGCACACCCCAACCCCATTTGAAGAGGCAGCAAGATGGCAGCCATGTGCAAGCCAGAGAAAGAGGCCCCAGAGGAACCAATCCAATATGGACCTTGATTTTAGACATCTAGCCTCCAAAACTGAAAAAAAATAAATTTCTGTTGCTTAAACCACCCACATTGTGGAATTTTATTATGGCAGCCCTAGGAAACTTCTACAAAGTGGAACAGGCAATATTTGTCAAGGGATTAGATGTAGAGTGATAGAAAATTAGCAGCAGGTATCATTCCCATGTTTGCCAATGGAATAACTAGGTGGATAGGGATGCCATTTCCTGAAACAGAAAGACTGAGGGAAGAGCACATTTCTTTGGAGTAATCAGGAATTTTTCTTCAATTACCCCAAATCTGAGATGACTGTGAGGCATATTTAGTAGAGATATAAATCACGGCAGCTGATTATTTAAAAATCTAGAGCTCAGAGGAGATATCTTTGTTAAAGGAATATACATGGGGTGTCTATTCATATATGTGTATGCATGTATGTACATATACATACTCATTAGGGAGTGGATTATTCACTCCCTATTATTCAATATTAGGGAGTGGATTAGATCACCGAAGGGGAGGTGGTAGAGAAATAAGGGAAGTACATCCAACACTTATCTCTAAAGCAGTCAGCATTTCAAGTTAATGTGGAAGAAGAACAAGCAAAAGACACTGAGAAGTGTCTCAGTGTCTTCACAGTGATCAGTGATGTAAAAGTACATCTGGGAGAGTATGATAAAACAGAAACAAAAATAGAAGTGGTTTCCAAAAGGAGGGCATTGCATTTAAAATGCTGCTGAAAGTTAGAGTAAGATGAGAAAAACATTTATCCCTTTAACTTGGCATCATGAAGGTCTTTAGTGATTTTTGACAAGATTTTTTTCAGTGGAATTGTGGGGGTGGAAGCCAGAATGGATTGAGATGAGAAATGAGAGGGAGTCAGGAAGTGAACTGAATGTGATTGCTTTTTAAAAAAAGATTCATTATGAAGTGTATCTGAGAAACAGGTTGTTGATCAGAAGTTTTTAGACAGGTAGTATTGCTATAAAATATGTATGCTGATGGAAGTGGTCCAGGAGAGAGGGAGAGATTATTGGTGTGAGAGCCAATAGAAGTAATATCCAAGTTACCTGTGGAGGGGATGGCTCTTAGATAAGAGCAGTATCTCCCTGGAGATAGGAAGACAGGAGAAAATGGGTGAAGGTACAATCAGTTTAATGAATATAAGATATTTTCCATCTAATCACATCTGTTTTATAAATAATGAATGAAAAAAGGTTATCACTTATCATTCAAGAGTTGAGGAGAAGCATTTTTAATAATCAGAGAAAAGTTACAAAATATTCATAGGGTGTAATAAGAGAGGGAGCTTATAAGTAACAGTCTGTGTGGTGAGATCATGAGAACCTGGTGACTATAACTTTACAGGGACATCTAACTGCCTGAGGGTGTGAATTTCTTCAGTAATGCTCTGCTGCATGGGTCCTGGATCAGGAAGGGCAGTTGTTCATCACAGTAAACGTGGTGATCCAGCCAGAAAAATGTTAAATAGCTGAAGACTGTTGTAAGTAAATTATTATAACAATGGGCGTGGAATCCATGGGATATACATTAGTTACCTATATTTGCATAACAAATTATCCCCAAATTTAGCAGTTGGAAGCCAAACATTCCTGATTTATAGTGTCTGTAGGTCAGGAATCCAGAAGCAGCTTAGCTGCTTGATTCTGGCTCAAGCCTGTCATGTAGTGGCAACCAGGATGTTGGCTGGGCTGCAGTCCTCTCAAGACTTGAATGAGGAAGCTTCCACTTCTGAGCTCACTCATGTGTCTTTTGACAGGCCTCAGAAGGCCAAACTCACATGGACTTCTCTATTTAGGGCTGTATGACAACATGGCACCTGGCTTACTGGCAAACAAATGCTCTAAGGAAGAGTAAAGGAGCTCCCAAGATGGAAAACACAGTCATTTTATATCTTAACATCCCATTGCTACTACCATATTCTGTTTGATAAAAGCAAATTTCTAAATCTAGCCCACATTCAAGAGAGAGACAATTACACAAGGACACACATATCAGGAAGTAGGGATCATTTGGGTCCATGTTAGAGGCTGCTTACCACAGGGTATAAGGAGGAAAGTGAAGATAAGAGCAGAAATTGGTGGGAATCACTAATAATAAAAAAAAGACCTGAATTTTGTGAAAGACTTGATTCCATGTGGTTACTTAGGAGGTGAGTTTATAAAAGCAGAAGGTTGTAATTGGAGAATTGAAACATTAAATTTTAAATACTGGAAGCAGTTTAGTCACTGGTTAGACTTTTTAGTTAAAGACCATAGGGAACCTAGAACTAGAAATACCATTTGACCCAGCCATCCCATTACTGGGTATATACCCAAAGGACTATAAATCATGCTGCTATAAAGACACATGCACACGTATGTTTATTGCGGCACTATTCACAATAGCAAAGACTTGGAACCAACCCAAATGTCCAACAATGATAGACTGGATTAAGAAAATGTGGCACATATACACCATGGAATACTATGCAGCCATAAAAAAGGATGAGTTCATGTCCTTTGTATGGACATGGATGAAATTGGAAATCATCATTCTCAGTAAACTACCACAAGAACAAAAAACCAAACACCGCATATTCTCACTCATAGGTGGGAATTGAACAATGAGAACACATGGACACAGGAAGGGGAACATCACACTCTGGGGCCTGTTATGGGGTGGGGGGAGCGGGGAGGGATAGCATTAGGAGATATACCTAATGCTAGATGACGAGTTAGTGGGTGCAGAACACCAGCATGGCACATGTATACACATGTAACTAACCTGCACATTGTGCACATGTAACCTAAAACTTAAAGTATAATAATTAAAAAAATAAAAGGAGGCCGGGCGCGGTGGCTCACGCCTGTAATCCCAGCACTTTGGGAGGCCGAGGCGGGCGGATCACGAGGTCAGGAGATCGAGACCATCCCGGCTAAAACGGTGAAACCCCGTCTCTACTAAAAATACAAAAAATTAGCCGGGCGTAGTGGCGGGCGCCTGTAGTCCCAGCTACTTGGGAGGCTGAGGCAGGAGAATGGCGTGAACCCGGGAGGCGGAGCTTGCAGTGAGCCGAGATCCCGCCACTGCACTCCAGCCTGGGCGACAGAGCGAGACTCCGTCTCAAAAAAAAAAAAAAAAAAAAAAAAAAAAAAAAAAAAAATACATAAATAAATAAATAAATAAATAAATAAAAGGAAATACACATATGCAAAAATAAAACATAAAAAAAAAAGACCATAGGGAAATGTGGATGAACTAGTAGGGAAACACACAGACACACACACACAGAAATAGAATGGAGAAGCTAGTATGTCAGGATAAGACATCTGCATGGGAGCTGAAGTCATGAGAAGAGGAATGGAAGTCAGGTAGACAGGAAAACTGCCAGCCAGCAGCTAAAAGATTCCATGAATGGAAACTATAACCTGGAGGAAGAGGTAAAGCTGCAAAGGCAGATGCCTTGGTCTCTACAGAAAGGTGAGCATGAAACTGAAATAAGGAGTACATATTTGAAACCAAAGGGGAGACTAAGGATACTGATTCTGCCACTGACCCATTTAATCAGGGTATGGAAGCAGCAGACATATAAATTGCATCTGTTTGACACGGTTGGAAGAGATGCCATGTCTTCATAAAAGAGCAGGCTTCAGTCAAGGAAGTGGGTAGAGAATATTCTTCCTCTTGTTTGTTGGTATAAAAAAGCATGGAGATCCAGAAGGCAAAATGAGAGAATCTGCCAGGAAGAGAAATGGTAGAGATAAGTGGATCAGAATTGGTAGAAACAGGACTGAACATGAATAAATGTTCAGAAATAATAGGTAGTCCATAGACTTCAATACCTGGTGTTGATAAAGCTCAGCAGATGTGCTGTTCCTGGCAGCCTTAGTTATTGTCATCATTAATGATAAAGTGGGACTTCTGTCAAAGAAAAAAATTATCAGAGTGGGAGAGGAATAAAAATGGAAAGGACTGTCTGTACCTCAGAAGATGATAGCAAGGGAGAAAGGCAAAGCTAGTAAAACTATGGAGGTTTTCAAAATTGTGATAGAATAGAGAGGCATTTCCAACCTGTGAGTGGGAAAATTGTGATTCTTTCTAGTCTAGGATTTAATTGCATTTTTCTCTCACTGCTTCCATTTCTTGTGAGACACCTTCTGTTATTTAGACTATGTCAGGAAGAGCCTTAGACATTATTCAATCAAGCTCTTTTCTGTGAGATAACTGAAGTCCAGAGAATTCATAGCTTCTTGTCCTTAATGAGGTATATACTTAGTGTCAGTTTCGTGAGTAAAAATGAAGAATCTTGATTTCTAGTATAATTGAAATTTCAGGGATTAAAGATAATGGTGTAAGTATAGTAACTTTATATGAGAAAATAACTAGCTGAAAAAGGTCAAATTTGGGGGTGAATGTATGTTCGATTGCAAACCCATATTTTGAGGTTTTAAAGTCCATATTTTCCAAGATACTTCTACAGCACACAAATATGACATTATGTGTTACCTACTTACAGCATTTCCTTAATATCACCAATGAAATCTTGAAAATTGATGGCCAAAAGTATTTACCGACTTTTTTTTAACTTGTATCGTTGTATAGGGAAATAATGATAAAAAATGGAAACCTGATGCAACTGGGATTTTTGTAACCTTGACTTTGCCTAGCATGGAATAGGACTACACTTGAACTAACCCAGGATAGCTGTTCTATGACATCTCCCTTAACCCCAAGTCTATCCCTTTATTTTTTAGTACTTCAATGTACTTTCTATTCTGGGATGTCCAAGTAGAAAATGACCAATTTGTTTTTTTACATAGAGACTAGAGGATATACAGCTTGGTTTCTGAGAGACTTCCTTTTTTAATAATAATAAAATAATGATAATAAACAGGAGACAGAGGAGAAGAAGTTGTTTAACTTTATAGTAAATATGCTAATATTAAGGATAAGTTCTCATAACAATGTAATCTTGTAATATTTTGATCATTTAATTAACATTCCAAAGCTTTGTGTATGTGTGTGTATATATATGTGTGTGTATATATGTATGTGTGTACATATATATGTGTATATATATATGTGTGCATATATATATATGGGAGATACTAAATACTAAATACTAAAAACTAAATACTAATACTAAATACTAAAAAATTAAGGCATATTTAACAAGAAATAACCTACAAACCTATCCATGCTTCTTAAAGCCTTACTGAAAATAACAAGTCACAGAGTTTAGAATGTGGTAATACAGTAATATCAGAAAAACTATGACAGAAAGAAGGAAAGAGAAAATACTTTCTAAAATTGAGTAAACATATTCTAGAAACATTCTTATTTGAGTATGAGAATTCTGCAAATGATACTGAATTTTAAGCAATGATCCTGGATTATAGGGTTATTCTCAAAGTGGAGGGACTAAACTTAGCACATACAGACAAAAAGATGAAACAGAAATAAATCACACTTATAACCTCATCATTCCAAAGTAATCTTAATAAAATAATAGCAGGAGAGATAAATTTGAAAGGCTTTAATATTAGATACCTGGGTCAATTTAAAATGCCATACCAGACTATATTTTGATGTGCTAACACTGACCTCTCAATAGTTCTTCTGTAAATCATCAAGGAAACTTATGTAATAATCAATTTATACAATTAATGTGGTAGTTTTGGAATTAAATGCATTACCTTATAAAAGAGAAATACAAAGCAATGTAGTGAAACTTCCCAAGCAAATATATGTGTATCAACTGAAATACACATATACATATCATATACATATATATACACACACGTGTATGTGTACTTACAAATAATGCGTGCATACATATACATATGTATGTATAAAATATGTGTATATGTGTTTATATATGTAAACATAAATATAGACATAGACTTGTGAAAGAGACCAATGAAAGCAGATAATTATAATTTGAAATGGTGATTTTAATATGTATTCAGTCATAAAAGTGGACCAACATCAATAGAAAGGAAAGGACAGAGAGCTGAGGGTGTGTAAACTGCTGCTCTCTTTTTGCTGTTGGGTCAACATGTCAGCAATGCTTTCATATGGAGCAGCTTGCAGACATGAAACAAGGTGGTTCCTCCTTTCTTTGCCTTTGGATTGTGCTGTTGTTAGTGTCCAGAGACCAGACTGTCCATATAGGGTTCTTTTTGTGATTCTTTATTATAATCCCCTGAGGAAGTCAGACGAGCCTGGGGTTACTGGAGACAGTGTCTTGCTTGGCGTAGTTATCATCCACAAATCATCTGCTATAAATATATCTCAGAAGGATCATCATCAGGCCAGCTCAGTAGCCTGCAATTTATGAAGGTTATGAGAAACAATGTGAAGGGTGAAGCGCTTTATTAAGGGTGGCTTTCTTTTCTGACCCTGCCCTGACTTCTACTTGAATATAAATGATCCTGGGAGTAAGTGAACCTTTCCATTTAGGATTTAGGCTTTTAAATTGTCCCTTTCAGCTGTTATTCTTATGCCACTGTGTCATGACTTTAAGAATTTCTAAGAAACATCAAAATCAGTGTTACAAGATAATATGAGAAATCACTAGATGCAAAATAGAGGTATAACTGAACCTCACATTACATTCTTTCCTTTTTATGTATAAACCATCCAAAGCATTTTTTCCTCCGTTTTTATTCCACATCTGTCATGCTTTTTTTTCCTCTGGATAAAGTAACAGAACTGACCAAATTGCCTTGCGAAAATCATAATTACGATCTCTAGGGAAGTTGAAATAAATAAAATGTTTTTCTCCTTTGTGTTGCTCAATGTTCTTTGTTTTTAAAAGAAAATGTGTTGCTTAAACGGTGTTTCAAAATTTGTTCTGGACATAAACCCTAATTATTTCCTTTTAACATTTCCTTAAATGAATAAAAAATATTGTAAAGAACCAAAATGACACAAAACCAAAATGCCACCCAGGCTGCTCTCTTGCCGGTGATTTGTTACTGGGAAAATAGTTAAAGCCTGCTGGGGAATTATTAACTGTTTCCCCTTACAGTGTTTATCCCAGGCATTCGTTTAAGACGGGAAAGCCTTGAAGAGGGTCACTCTATTAATATGCATTAAGAAGTAAAGGACCAATTTTAATATTTCAAACAACTCCAGTGGATAACAGACCATAAACTTCCTGTTTTCACTATCAATCTCTTTTAAAATGGTGTTCTTGGCTATCCATAATCGCCCCAGGGGAGAGAAACAAGCGGAGGAAAAAAATGCAAGAGTGAGGGGAACAAATGATGGAAAATTGCTTTATTCAACTTCACCTGCCGCTCGAGAAACTCACCCTTACGAAGATTCCAGCACTTTATATGAATTACCCATTATGGTTTCCTCCCACCACATCACTGCACTATTTTAGCACTTGTTTTGCAAACCACCAACTGCGTTTACAAGTAGAAACATAATCAGGAGGCGAATGACCTTTTGTAGCATGTATCTGAAGCTGGTTTATCAGACACTTCGTCAGCCAACTGTCCAGGAGGCAAAATGACTATCTATGATGATAGATAGACAGACAGATAGATAGTTAGATTAAAAGGTGGGGAAACATCCCTTTTCCCTTTTTCCTTTCTATATAATCTGGTTTTTTCTCTTCACCCCTTTTCTCGCTTCTTCCCACCCCGTCCCCAAACCTGTTACTAGGGAAACTTGAAAAAGAATCAGATACATTAAGACTACAAAACGAAACAAAAGTTTAGACCCCGAAACCATGATTCCATTGCCAAGCACAAAGCAATGCAAGAGCCCAACGTCGGTCGCCGCACCGCGATCCTGACAAAGCCTGTATGGAGCCAGAACAAATAAGATGTTAATTGCAGCCTCGCAGAGAAAAAAATACTATTGTTCCAGCCAGAGACACTCAGCAGCTCGGTAGCTGGGATGTGCCCCCTCCGCTGCGGACTGGATCAATTCTGAATCCCGGTACTGAAATGACAGCTCTCTGGCTGCGACAGGTCTGCGCTGAAAGAAAGAGAAAGACGATCAAGTCCAGCATTCACTTCCCACCCTTCAGAGTCGCCTTCCCATCCTCCGCACCCCCCTGCCTCGCCTCCCAGTGAGTTTCTCTTACAGTTGGTCGCCGCCAGCCCCAGCGGTGGGAACTGAGGATGCAAAAACCTCCCAGACGCAGAAAATACCGCTTTCGGGACGTGCTTGGGTTTGAGTAGCCGTGACGTGCAGGCGAACCGCGGCCCTGGCTGGAGCTCCGTGGAGCCCCCCTCCCGCCAGCCTCTCCCCCGCCCTCCCGCCGGGACTCCCTCCTCTCCCACCCCGCGGCTCCCTTCGCCTTCTCTCTCACACACCCGCCCGCGCCCCCGGCAGGCAGAACTCCAGGAAGTCGCAGCGGCCGCGCCGCGCGAGCCGAGCCTCTGGCGGGCGGCGGGGCGCACCGCAGCTGTGCATAAGAAGGGCGCGCGGCACCCGGGACGCGCGCGCACACGAGCACGCGGGAGGCCGCCGCGCGGACGCGCTCCCGGGACACGCGCACCCCCCGCGCGCGCGCCCAAGGGAGAGCGAGCACTGCGCGCCGGCGCGCACACCCGAGACAGAGCTTTACTATCTCGCTCCCTCTCGCGCCTCCCTCCTCGCTGGGCATTCAAACAGCTTTCCGACATCACCAGCCAAGGATTTTTTTCCCCGCTCTCCTTAGTCGCCGTCCGTCCATCAGTACCTGCAGGGGGGAGGAGGAGGAGGGAGGAAAGCGGAAAGAGGAAAAAGCATAAGCTTGAGCCTTCCGATCCGACCACGAATACTCCTGTAATAAACCCACCGCCCCAACAAATCTGCCATAGCAGCCGCCGCCGCCGCCGGTCACTTCTCGTCTCAGCGCTTTCTTTGCTTCTTGGTTTGTTGGGGGTAGCTTTTATGAAACAAATCTTTGCTATTAAGCCACTTACATTTTGGGGGGTTCCTTAGAGTCTCCCTTGGGGGGGCTTCTCCCTCCCTTTAGCCCCCCTCGGTTTGGAGGTTGGATTCAGTTGGATACGGCGCAAGGTTCTGGGCTCCTGCTGGCTTTTTTTTCCTCTCTCTCATCGACCCCCCTTTGGTTCCCACCCCCCACCTTTTGCTTTTCGTATGTATGCATTTTTAAAAATAAATCCTGATTTTGGAAGCTGAGCCGGGGAAAATGGGCAACGGTGATTGGGACCGAAGGGGAGTCTCTCCGTCACTGTTGCTGGGACGCGTGCCTGTGCTGGTGTCTTAGAGCAAGAGCCTCCCTGAGCTTTCGGAGTGGAAGGTAAGGAAGGGGGTCCAGGGGTCACCTTTTCTCTGCCGGGGGTCGCCACCGTGGAGCTTTGGGCTTAATGTTTGAGAAGGGAGGAAAATGAAAGGAAAGGCTGTTGCTGGCGGATGGGGAGGCTGTGAGCAGATCCGACTGTCTGCATTTACTTAAACGCCGCAGTTGAAAAGTTAGAGAAGTCTGGTTTTCAAGAGATGTGCTGGGTCAGAAGGAATAAGCGGAGAGACCTAGAAAATCTGGCAGTTTTGTGTGATTGGGGTAATTTTATGAGGGGAAAATTTTAGGTTAAAAGGAAGTTAAGAGAAGGCAGTGGGTCTTCTATTGGGGGGAAAAATCTGTGGAGTGATGGCGCCGTCTATGTTCGACTAAACTAAAGTGTCACCCAGAAAATCAGTTTTGAGAATAGCTAAACTCAATGCTGGTTTGCTTCTCAGCAAGAGATAAATAAATAAATAAATAAATAAATAAATAAATAAAACATCCTTGACACCTCCGTGGCCAGCCTTTGCCCCCGCCCCCACCCCTTCTTTAAGAGGGAAACACGGCTTTTTGAACGGGCCCTGCAGTCCAAAGGGGGGTGAGGGTAATGATTTATTTTTTATTATTTAGAACAAAATAAGACTGTGTACTCCAGACTGATTAAAAATAAAGAGCATTATATTGAGTGCGCTCTCTTGAGCAGGCATTAAAGTGAATTCAGAGCTATTTCCTCACTCTCTGATCATTGATGAGCACGGCATTGCAGACATGCACTGTCAAATAAATGAAAGCAAAAGTACCAATTTCATTAGGAAAAGACATACGACCTCTTTTTGAGTTCCTGATTATAAAATGAAGTCCCCTTTCATGGATGGAATTCCTAATTTAGACACTTATTGTCACATTGGCTCTCAACGCCTACACTCTATCCTGAAGAACACTGCGCAGACCTGCATTGCCTGCAAAGTGCAACACCAAAAAAAAAAAAAAAAAAAGGAAATTATTTCCAGAATTTCTTACAACTTTCTCTGTTTTTTTTTAACCTTTAAATGCTCATTGGCTTTATTTTCTCATGAAGAAAATGCATTATTCATTGAGCTATTTGCTTGAAACAGAGAACACTGTTTTGATGGTCCCAGCAGTTCTGATGTTATTTTAAACTGCTGCTATATAGAGATTTAGAGTTGGGGCTGTGTTTGCCTATATCAAGACATAGAATTTGAATTATAATCTGGAAAATGCAGATCTATCTTCAGGGACTTCGGTCACTGGATTTGGTGTGCATGCGTTGGTGTGTGTTATGCAATGGGAAGGAAGAGGGTTTTATCCTTTGATTCAGAGAAGACCCAGGCAAAGGCATGAAAACTCTTAACTATCTATATGTCTGTATGTCTGTCTCTGTTTACAGAACAGTGGAAGAGACTGCAGCCTAAAGACTTTTAAAATTAACTTGGCATCACTTTTATCAGCTCAAAGGCTAAACAAACAAACAAAAGCAGTGTCATTTATTCTAAGAAATAACTTCTTAAAGGTTAAAGCTGAAAAATATTCAAGTTATTTTTGGATAACAACTTACAGAGGTAAATATAACCAAGGACTACTTTATTATCCAAAGCCAGGGTTAAAATTAAAAAAGAAAAGAAAAGAAAAGAGGAGCTTTGGAGTTGTTGTTGGAAAGGGAGCAATTTAATAATTGAAATCTGCTAGGAACAAAAATGTTAATGTATTTTATTACCATGTGTAAGCCTTAAATTACAGTTGATAAGATAATTTTTCAAAAATTAAAAGACTGAAACCAGCTCAATTACTATGGTTCTGGATTTTTTTTTTTTTTAACTGATATCACCTTTGGATACAGATACTAATACAGTGATCCACTTTATGTATCCCAAAAGGGCATGTCACATTGAAATGACTGCCCTAAATCCTGGTTCTCAATGGTGATGTTGAACAACAAGTCTTCCCTATGTATTTATCCATCTATGCCCTTTCTCAAATGATGGTTTTAAAATTAACTAATCCACATGAATGCCCATGTTTTTGCAAAGGAATTTCTGAGCAGTTCACATGGTGGCCCCTGCAAAGGCAAGTGGGGCATTTGGGAGATGATGTTCCATCTGTAATAAATTATTATTTGTGCTTTTAAAATTGTGGCCATAATTTATCATCATTACTTTTCACGTTTAAGAGGAGAGAAATAATGTGATGACAGCTGTTCCCAGATTATCAGATTAGATTTTGTATGATAGTGTTTACCGCAGAGGACAGAGAGAGAAAAGGTTGTATAGACTATAGACTGATTAATACTATTTCGACAATTAACATTTACATTATGACGTTTTAAAACTCCATGTTTTCCCTTTTCATTCGATAGAATGATAATGGACGTGGAGGATATCCTAGTAGATAAGTTAGGGCATTCCTATTAATAATCTATTAAATGTTATTTTTAAATTGAATGTTGCGAATTTGACCATTGTGAATGGCCACATGAGGGCGCTGTTCACACAGCAACAGATAATTTTCCTGTGTTATAAAATAAAAATTACCTGCCCTTCTTTTAAAAAGGGCTTTTTACTGAAATCTTGAAAACAGCTGGCTGTAATATTGAAAGGAGTTTATTTTCTCAATGCACGTAGACTCCTACTTGCATTTTACTTTCATTGCCATTTTTACAGGCCAAATGACATAGGATGAAGGCTGTTCGTAACCTGCTGATTTATATATTTTCCACCTATCTCCTGGTTATGTTTGGATTTAATGCTGCCCAAGACTTCTGGTGTTCAACTTTGGTGAAGGGAGTCATTTATGGATCGTATTCTGTAAGTGAAATGTTTCCTAAAAACTTTACAAACTGCACTTGGACGCTGGAAAATCCAGATCCAACCAAATATAGCATTTACCTGAAATTTTCCAAAAAGGACCTTAGCTGCTCTAACTTTTCACTCCTGGCTTATCAGTTTGATCATTTTTCCCATGAAAAAATAAAGGATCTTTTAAGAAAGAATCATTCTATAATGCAACTCTGCAATTCCAAGAATGCTTTCGTTTTTCTACAGTATGATAAAAATTTTATTCAAATACGTCGAGTATTTCCAACTAATTTCCCAGGATTACAGAAAAAAGGGGAAGAAGATCAGAAATCTTTTTTTGAGTTTTTGGTATTGAACAAGGTCAGCCCAAGCCAGTTTGGTTGCCATGTATTATGTACTTGGTTGGAGAGCTGCTTAAAATCAGAAAATGGGAGAACAGAATCATGTGGGATCATGTATACAAAATGCACCTGCCCTCAGCATTTGGGAGAGTGGGGGATCGACGACCAGTCGCTGATTTTGTTAAATAACGTGGTGTTACCCCTGAATGAGCAGACAGAGGGCTGCCTGACCCAGGAGCTGCAAACCACCCAAGTCTGCAATCTTACCAGGGAGGCCAAGCGACCACCCAAAGAAGGTAAGTGCCAAAGAGAGGGGAAGGTGAGCGGGGGAGCACTTTTGGGGGATGGAGTTAAAACGTGCTGTTTCAACACACAGGCCTAATTATTTATCCTTTATTGTCACTTTTTGATTCATTTGATTTGTGCTATTCACTGATAAAGGTCTCTTGAGCTAGTTTTAGGTTTCAAGGTTTTAGAGAGGGCGGTGAGGACTGGATAGCTCAGCAGCATGCGCTGGAAGTGAGGGTGGAATTTTCAGGAGAAAGATGCAGAAACCTAGAGCCAGCATGCACTAGAGATTGGTGAGGAGGGAGAGGGGTTTCTTTATTCAGGCTGCAGCCCCTCATGGTGACACACACACGCCCCACATGTGAAGTGGATTTATAGACATCTCCCTTCTGTTCCAGCCCAGCAAAACGTCCACTTTACTTCCTCTCTCCTATCCCCACGGAGTCCTTCCCTCTCACTCCCCACCCATTTCCAGGTCTGATCTTGGGGCATCTTGACTAAAAGGTAGTGCAAACTTAATAGTTTGCCTGTTTGGACCAAATGACTTCCTGACACATGAAGGCAGGTGTACCCCCCTTCTCCCCTGGTCTGGAATTTTATTTGAGGTGCTTGCGCAAAAATCTCGCACGCTTGCTCTTTCTTGGGTCAGAAGGAACTCACTAGAAGCGCAAACTCTCCAGGTCTTTTGGTTCTGGAGTCACCTGAGGACGGGGTGGAGGGGTGCAATGAAAACACATAGTGATCCTTTAAGACCCCATCCTCCTCTTGAGAGTGAATTTTTGCCTTTATCTTCTTAGTCCCCGGTTGACGTACACGAAGAGAGGGAATGTCTCAGAGCTAGCTGGGGGAAAGGAGGGGGAGGAAGTGCAACGGAAATGCGGAAGAAAAAGAAAGTACAGGAATGATTTATAGTTTTCACCCAATCCCCAGTGGGGGAGCTACCAGAGGATTTGAGATTGTGATTATGTTTAATAATGCAAGACAGCGTGACATATTTTGAGAAAATGACTTTTGTTGTTTGGAAGGTTAATGGATGTTGTGTTCCACTCCTTTAAGGACACTGCTGATACATATTAGTTCTTGCTTCCCAATCCTGAAACCAGAGAGTGTGTTGATTTCTTATGCAGGAAATGTTTTCTGATTGCCACAAAGATCCCAGTCTGTGGAAAGGGACAGCCAAACTCCAGTCGCCAAGCTCCAGTCCCTCTTTCCTTTTCCTCAACCAACAGAAGTTGTCTTTGTGGCCAATATAAAATTGACACGTTGTTGGAGAATTTTCTTTAAGTGTAGCCAAGGCTTTGTAAGGGGAAGTGGAGGGATGGAGAACCGAAATAGCCTAATGCTATTTCTCTGCTGGCTGCAATTTAAGGGATGGGAATTATGGAAGAGCAATGGTAGGAGAGGAAAAGACCTGTTAGAAAATGAATGCAGACTAATGGCAGTGAGAGAGGGGTGAAAACCTTAAAGATTTCTGCAGGTCAGTGTTTCACTATCAGCTGTGACTGAAGAAAACAAAGTGGTTTTAAATTACAGGAGTTATTTTCTGTAGTAAAAAATCCCAGAGAAGCATTTGCAACTGCAGGGATGGTATTTAACACCATTTAAAACTAATTAGTGTCCCCTAGAATAAGAAGCTACAGTACACACAAAAAATGTGATGTTACAAACTGGCTAATAAACCATTAACATAGGAAGCTGGTTTTTGTTTGTTTTACTGTTGTTTTAATACAGTTTAGAAAATCTGTTTCTTCAATGGTTAAATTGAGTACTGACGACAGTGGAGAGTGAATTCAGTGTCACAACTCTTTTATATGAAAGGTGGTAAGTGACAAAAACAAAGTTGTTGTGTGTGCATTAAGCATGATTTTCAAAGATTTTTTGATCATGATCCCGAGATGTGGGTTAAGATAATGCTGGGATTTACAGAAGCTACTAGATAGCCATTTGTTTTGTAAGTGAAGACAAATAAGAGTGATTTTAGACAGCAGATGTATAAATCATGGGAGACAAATTGTATATTGTCATTAATTCACTGGCAAAATGAAAAAGAAATACCTTCACTGACAAATATACTTACATTTAAAGTGCAGTATGATGTTAATAGAGTTGAACTAGAAAAAGTTTGTATCATAGGGGAACAACATATGCTATGTCAGTAAAAGCACATAGTCTCTATTCTGTACATTCTGAATTTGTGTTCTTTGTTTAGGTATTCTGAGTTCAGAAAGGTAAGGATAAGTAATTACTGATGACACATTTGTAGGTGATGTATTTGTTAAGTAATTCTTACAAAATACATGTACCACTCTTTACCCCAGTTAAATAATCTCTTTTTGGCTAGGCTACATTGTAGGAAAGGAATGTGAAAATCTATTGACCTTTGATTTAATCAAATTTAAGCAAAGTATATTCTATCTTCAATATTTGATATTATGATATATAAAATACTAATAAATAATTATTTAATACCATTTTAAATAAACTACCATATAATGACATAGAGCTTGAGGTTAATCATTACATATAGCTGTACTAATCATATCTCATTTTATTCCAGAGTGTTATTTTATATGATAACATGAAATTCCAGCTTTTAAAATTGGGTTTTAAAAATTCCACTTATATTTTATATTACTTGGTGTTTTCCATTTCCTATTAAAAAAGGTTGTCTCTTAAGTCAGCAGAGGAATAAATACAAGATTACTCTCCTTTGACTCCCATTTTATTCACTAATAAATACTGACTCAGAAGGCCTGCCTTGAGTAGAAATATCTTCAACATGTATTGTACCATAGAAGTGGCACAAATTTGAAGAGTCTTCACACTTAGTAGATGTGATTCCAGATTGTTTTGTGTAATACTGATGGTGATGGCAAAGATATATCAAATGTTGAATATTGTGAGTGTGTCCACTGGTATTATGACATAATATTTGGTATTTAGTATTGAAAAACAATAGACTCTCAGGAGTGGGATGCCTACTTTGAGATAGGATTTATGCTAGAACCTTCTTTAATAATATATTCATGTACTGAAAAATTTCATAGCCAGAAAAGAACGGCAAGAAAACTATTGCTGTTTTTAGTGACACCAACAATTACAGATGTTATCTTGAATATATCATACAAAGTAAATTATTTGACTAATGCTTCATTAAAGTATTACATTTGAGTACATTTTTAAAATTTCTTGTTTAAGATCATATTTGACATATTTGGGGGTATCATGTGATTATAGAAACTCAGTTATTTCCCTAATTTTTATATGAAATTGTGAAAGCCAACTAAGTTAACAAAATGAAGCCTTTTTTTTTTTTCCAAATAAAAATGTCTTATTTCAGGCAGCTTTTTAAAAACCTCTTAACATATAATGGCTATAACTTAAAAAAAAAAACTCAAATAACATTATGGTTTACCAGTTTTTAGGTACAAGTCAGGAGAAAGACTGGTATTTATTAACAAAGTCATCTTTAATTGTCCTGAGGTCTTTACTATAGTTTATAGGACTCTTTTGCTGAAGATAATTCTGGACTATATAGCTGAGATATAAAATGTGGAATAAAAATATCTTATTTCTTACCACTTCATTTATAATAAATGATTAAAACAGTTTTGGCAGAAAAATTCTACACCAGGATATCTAAATCACATAATAAGCCTTAATGGAATCTTTGTTTCTTACTGACATCAATGGTGCTACTTATGTGAAAGGAAATTGGGATCTCTGTATAGATTCCAGGAAATCTGAACACACACACTCATTTGTCTTTCTACTCTGCCTTTGCTAATCCTTGATATTCTACTCCCCAAAGGAAGTCTCACCATAGGCCTGTGTAGACTTTAGTTCATGCCTGCGTGTGTATGTGTTGTCATTTTTAGGGACATATTTGCAATCTAATGTGATTTGAGTCTATGTCAGTTTAATTGTCCCCATTTCTTTTTACCTTTGTTCTGTTTGCCCTCAGATAACTTTAGGAGTCATCATTCACCTTTCTCTTTACACTCTTCATCTTCCTTTTTTTTTTTTTTTTTTTTTTCGTATGTCACTGCCAGGATGCCATACTCTATCAGAATGCAGAACGATTTACTGAATCTGTTGTTCCTTGAAGAAACAGCCTGACAGTTTGCCCTGTCCCTGTGCTGGATCCCACAGACCTTTGCACATACTGTACTTCTTTTCTAGCATTCACCATATTGCAGCGTGATTTTACATCAATATTTTCATCTCGGCTGGTCGCAGTGTCTTGCACCTGTAATCCCAGCACTTTGGGAGGCCGAAGCGGGTGGACCATGAGGTCAGGACTTCAAGACCAGCCTGGCCAAGATGGTGAAACCACCTTCTCTACTAAAAATACAAAAATTAGCCAGGCATGGTGGTGGCAGCCTGTAATCCCAGCTACTTGGGAGGCCGAGGTAGAGAATTGCTTGAACCCTGGAGGCAGAGGTTACAGTGAGCCGAGATCGCACCACTGCACTCCAGCCTGGGTGACAGAGCAAGACTCTATCAGAAAAAAAAAAAAAAATTCCATCTAACTCTACCAGACTGAGTTCTTCAAGTAAAATAAAAACAATAAACAAACAAACAAACAACAAACAAAAAAAAAACCCTGAGGCTTTCAATTATCCAGCACACTCTGAACATGGTTTTAGTAAATATTGGTTGAAATGAATGTGAAATAAATGAAACAAAAAAACTCAATAGGAAAGACAGCAATAAATAGGTTACAGTAAAAAAAAACAGAAGTACATGACTTTGGGAAAGCATCTACCTTTTACTTACACCTTTATTAGGGGAAGATTGCTATTATTTTTATAATTTCCAATTTTATTAATGCATTATTGATGTCAGTTCCTGATCTCCAAGGTGTTATTTTAAAAGTTTTTAAAATAACAAGGACTTACTAACAAATATTCTTAATTATTTATATGTTTATTTTAAAATGTCAATGATAAATAGAACTTGCTATGTATGCCCATCTAGAAAAAAAATGGTAAGAAAATTAGCCATTTTCTATCTCTTTATTTGACTTCATTTCTCTCTCTGTTTCTCTTTTCTGGCCCTAGCATTACTTGTACAGTAATGACATTTTGCAAATCCTCTCCTCCACACTTTGAAGATAAACATAAGCTGTCTTTCCAAGAAATAGAAAAGACTATTTATACATCAGTTTCAGTGTTACTGTTATTCACTCTTGATTATGATCTATGTTAGTGATGGAATATTATTAAAATTATAGGCCCGGTCAAGTATAACAAAATGCCACAATTATTCCGTTTGCCATCTTAGAATTTCACCAATTAAGGAGTAGTTCATGTATGTAGCAATTAAAGAAAGAAAACTCCATTACATGGTAGCATATTTTTTGTAGACAATAGATTTAACATATTAAGAGGGGTGCGAACACTTAAGTGCATTTGTTTGTATGTATACAATGTATACACACATGTGCCAACATATGTGTTTCAGAGGATTTTTACAACAGCTGTAGATTAATGTACTTCAAGTTCATTTTCTATCAAAATCGAGATAGGAATTTTACTTCTCTTAAAATCCAGCTTTTTGCATGTTTTCTTTTACTTCCTTTCCTGACAGAAGCAATTTTATTGTTAAGCTGATTTTTTCCATATATCTAATTTATAAATCATAGTTTTTCTTTAGGCTCAGTCTGGTATGTATTACCTATAAAAGCAGTCCGGCCCTTGGAAAAGAAATCAGTGTTCATTTAAAAATAAGATTTTGTAATTTTTTTTTTCTAAATTGTATATATTGGGTTTTAAGATCATGAACCAAAGAGAGCTGAGTTTTAATTTGCTGTTCCTTATAATGGCTACTACTCTATATTATCACTTTCTTCTTTTCAGAGTAGGCTAGTAATGCTTATTTCTCAGGGTACAGGAGGATAGGAAATGACATCATGTATGAAAAAAATTAATAAAATTAATGACTTGGAATATTTCAGTTCCTGTCAGTGCCTGTGGAAATTTCTTCCCGATTCAATTAACTAATAAGAAATCAGAGATAATACTTTTTTCTAGGTGTGTCACTTCCTTGAAATGAGAAGCATGATTTGGTATAAGAAAAACTTTGGTCCCTAAAATGACTCAGCCACTTAGTAGCACCTTTGACAAGTGACTGAGCTTGACTAATTAATAAACTGAGAATAATACCTACTGCAATGGAGTGTCATACTAAATGAGATTGCTTGTATGCTCAAGTTATGTTAGGCCCTCGATAAATGTCAGTGCTCTTTTCTTTTTTCTTTTTTGAGACGGAGTTGCATTCTTGTTGCCTAAGCTGGAGTGCCATGGCGTGATCTAGGCTCACTGCAACCTCCGCTTCCAGAGTTCAAGCGATTCTCCTGCCTCAGACTCCTGAGTAGCTGGGATTACAGGTGTGCACCACCACACCTGGCTAATTTTTTGTATTTTTAGTAGAAACGGGGTTTCACCATGTTAGCCAGGCTGGTCTCAAACTCCTGACCTCAGGTGATCCACCTGCCTCGGCCTCCCAAGTGCTAGGATTACAGGCAGGAGCCACCGTGGCCAGCCCAGTGCCCTTTTCTTTTCCCTCAAACTCCCTTCTTCAGTTTCTGGTAGATCAAAACAATTTCTGATTAAAACTCACATTCTATTTCAGACATATCTATATTCTTATGCAATTTTCTCATAAAATATTAAAAATTGTTTATCATTTGTATAAAATAAAATTACCCAGACATGATGACCTGTGTCCAGGATGGAAAAAGTTAACATTGAAAATGATAGACTTCCAGCTGGGCGTAGTGGTTCATGCCTGTAATCCCAGCACTTTGGGAGGCCGAGGCGGGTGGATCACGTGAGGTCAGGAGTTTGGCACCAGCCTGGCCAACATGATGAAACCCTGTCTCTACTAAGAATACAAAAATTAGCCAGGCGTGGTGGGGCATGCCTGCAATCCCGACTTCTCAGGAGGCTGAGGCAGGAGAACAGCTTGAACCCAGGAGGAGGAGGTTGCAGTGAGCAGAGATCGGGCCACTGCACTCCAGCCTGGCCAACAAGAGCGAAACTCTGTCAAAAAAAAAAAAAAAAAAGAAAAAAGAAAAAAAGATGGACTTCCAAGTGCTGGGGAATTGATAAAAATAAATAAATACAAATGATAACACTGAATTTTCATACTACTTCATATGTTTTTATTTGTTGTTTTGTTTGTTTGTTTTTTACCTTTCATAAAACTTGTGTATACAGGACTGGAGAACATTTTATTTTATTTTTTGTTTTGTTTTTGGGTAAGGAGAATGGCAAGGAAGAGAAGAAGTGACTTGAGTAACTATGTGATGCTACATAGCAGTTATATGGGTCTGCAAAGTTTTGAGAACCATTTGAAACTTTTAATTGTGTAAGAGTGTGTGTGTTGTGGAGAGGAAGGGTTGGTAACATTGGTTTAAAAACATATCTTCTCTGGTATTTTTATTATTATGCAAACATTTATTTATTTACTGATTAGGAATCTACTGAGTGCTTGATGTTTTGTGCATGGAATTCTTAATGAGTATAATCCTGGGGACCAGAGAAGGGAATTTGGGTTGGAAACTTTAAGAAGGATTTCCGTATTTCATGTGTGTATGGTTGAAAATATGAATGAACAAAGCAAAATTGAAATAAAAGAATACTGTTAATAATGAAGTTGTTGAGTGTGGAAGGTGTAGTAGCTCTCTAGAATGAGACCTGCATACATTAAGCATGGATTTCTTATAACCTCTTATCGTAATTGAAATAAATTTTCACTGAGGTATTTTTCATTATGTTTAAAACTGCTTATGTTTCTTTGTGAAGTAGAATTTTATTTAAGTATTATGTTTACACTTGAAACAGTTATAATTTTTCTATATATTTTTCATTATACGATGTCATTATATGGTATTTAATGTATCTAGTACCCAACCCTTTAAATTTTATTTTTGTACATTAATGTACATTAATATAAAATATTCTCTTCAAATCAGCACAGTTTTGGAAACTTTGTTTTTATTCTTATTTTTGGCTATAAACCATAGAGAATTGATAATCAATAATGATTTAGAGTGCCACTTAATTATTTGAACTTGACTATGAATTTAGAGCATTTAACAAAGGATCATAAAGCCATAGAGATATGTGTCTGTTTTGTATTAGATGAAGAACAGGTAACATCTCAATACCTTTGTGTTGATGAAGGCATGACTAATAATACACGACTTAGATCAAGATAGTGGTGTGTGCATCATCCTGGGCCTGGAAAGCTGTCCTTTGAATATCATTGCTGATCGGCAGCAAAGCTATTTAAGTTAAATGATTTCCGACTATTTTAATCTTTGCTGGATTCTGCAAAATGAGGTTTATGTTTTGAGATCTATTTTGAAAAGAAATTATCTTGAAATGCTAGTCCATATTTAAACACTTGGAAAAAAGGATGACTTAGCTGGAATTTCATTCAGTGAATTCTGATAAGTTATTAGAGACCAATGATCCCGAATATCCCCCCACAATGCTTACATAATTAGATACTAAAAAAAATCAAAAATGGTTAGCATCAATTTGAGAATTCTGATATTTTCATAAGGTAAAATTTAAAAATATCATCTATGAGACTCTATGAAATGCCACAGGCTCTACATTCAATTATCTTTCAACTATCCTCCAGGAATTTTGTGCACTTGCAGAGAATGACCTAGCTACACGGCTGTAAAAGTTTAATAAAGTATTTCTAGTGTGTATGGAAAATTCAATAAGTAACAAATGCACTAAATACATGAGCATGTAGCTGATTAACTCAAAATTAACTGAATGAATAGGAGCCTTCCTGAAATTTTAAATGTTTGCTGATGTGCATTTTTCCTATAACCAGTCCCTATCACACAATGATGATGCCTGAGGCATGTTATAAAATATGAAGGTAAAATGGTTACTGTTTGGTTTCTGTTTCTATCATGTAAAATGAAATAATTTACCTGCTAACTTAATCCTGGATAAATATTTTCTCAAATTATTTCTACTAAAAAACAAGTTTATTTGGGGAGTGTGAGTTTTTTTGTTTTTTTTTTCGAAAGAGAGCAAATATGGGCATGAGAAAGACATTGGAACGCTGATGGATCCAGATTGCAATATTTAGGATGTAGCAAATGTACTCAGACGTTAATGCTTAAAAATCATTAAGAAAATTGTGGAGTCAACCACGGAAGATTATGTAGGTAGAATTACTTCTTAACAACAGTTATGTTAAGGTAATAGAAATGTCACAGAAACATTTGCTTTCCTGGGTGGTTCATACTAGATGAGTAGTACACAATATTCATTTCATGACATTTCTCCTGGTGTTCCTTCTTTTTAAGGTGATTTTTAAAATTTTGATAATTTTTTTTTAAATTTCTATATTTATGTACCTAAACACTAATAATTTGTTCTCCAATAAGATGCATTTTTAAAGAGAATCTTTACATATCACCCTTAAGAAAATAAAGAACTAAAGCATTTAAATAAAGATTTCATAAATACAAAGAATATAATAACACCTATCATTCAGAAAATGCTTTCTAGTTTGCAAAGTTCTATTGCACATATTGTTTTGTATGGGCAATAACTGTGTCAGTTACATATTATCTGCCCCATTGAAGTGTCAATTATGCAGAATACTCTAAAAATCATGGTCTTTCTTTTTAAATAATTTTACTACAAATCAGATCAAATGAAAAGCTAAAGAATTTCAGAGCTATAAATTTTCTCACTCCCTCTTATGTCTGGAGTACTTTTGAAACTGAATCACAAATATTCAGACTTATAAAGATCTTTCAACACTATTTAGTCCAAATCTTACCTGATTAATGGAACCCTAATCTACAAATATGTAATGGGACCATCATTTCAGATAAGCATAACTCTTTTGGAATACACATTCAACAACATCTCTATAAGATAAAAGATGAACAGTCTAATTGACTGTCTAAATGACTATTTGATAAATCTAATCATTAAAATTACCTGATATTTATTCAGGACAATAATCAGACATTGTCTGATTGACATACTACTTAATGTAGACTAGTGTCTACAAATTAAAGCTTTCATTCATTAGATTTTTTGTACTATTTTGTATACATAATTTAAACAAATATGAGATAGGTCTCAAAAAAACGATTGATTTTTAGTCTAAGATTATTAAATTTAAAGAGCATGTATTTCAACTTCAGAGTCTGTATAGATTTACTAAGACAATCTATCTTGGATTTTTACTTTATTATCATTGTCTGGGGAAATCTATGTTTTGGAGAAATAATGTGCATTCTTGGTTACCTTGTGATACATTGAGAAATAGCATTGAAGGTGAGAAATGAGCAAAGTCAGGGTGTCTCTTTTTCTGGGCTTCTCGCCTTGCATTGCTGTGGGTTGGCTGCATGCCCCTGTCCTCTGTTGAAGGTTACAGCTTCTGTCAGGTGACCTCCCTCTTTGATGCTCTGGTGACCACGCGCCTTACTCCTTTAAGCCTATGGGCAGTAATGGCTCCCCACTGTTTCTAGCTCTGGGCACTGAACTATCTTTCCTTGCTTACTCAAAGCACTATTCATGCTGTTGTACTTGCTTCTCATAATACCTTGAGAACAACAGGTTTCTTACTGGGACCCTGACTAACACCAAGGTGTATAGTTGAGTTAGTGAGGTGATTTCAGAGTATATATAAAATAAATCGGAAATCAGTGTTTTATATTGTGGTCCTTCCATTTAATGTACTAAAGGTCTTATGTAATAATTATCCCTTTTGCAGATGGGCGCACAGAGTAGCGCAAGTGTACAGAGAAATAAATAACAATGAAGTATTGAAAATTAAAATATCAATATGTGTTTGTCTTAATAACTCTTCTTTGAGTTTAGGCCCTCTAGGTTTTTTTCGGTATTTATCTGTTGGTTTTTTTTTAATTGCATCACAATTTTTAAAAATTGCATAATACACATACGTTCATATACATCATACATAATATTTATTTTCAGTATTGATGAGACAATGGAACATTTGCACTGCCCTAGATGTTCAAAGAAATTTGTGTGAGCTGACAAAAACAAATTACTTCAAGGCTCCCATATAAAACATAAAAATTCCTGACAGATTAAGAATTTAGTCTAATTTTATATCATTTTAAAAATGGAAAGATGAAAATAAAAATAGAATTTTGGTTGCTGTTCAAGTTTCATTTTGCCTGTTGATCTCACTGTCTCAAAACAAAACAAAAACAAAACACATACACAAAATGTATTTTTGTGTATCTTCTTCGTTTTATTCCGGAAAACAATCAAGGCAACTAAGTTTTCCTTTATAATTTCATAAGGAAAATTACAGCTTTTTATTTTTCCTTTTTGTTTGTCCATTTGTTGCTTTTCACATCAAGAAAGGAGCCTGAGAGGAAAAGAAGTAACTGAAAAAAAATTAAAAGGCTGACTTTTCTTCTAGACTTCTATTGAAACAGCTTTATGATTTTTTTTGAATAGGCAATGCAAAACAGATATTTTATGTCTGCTGGATGTTTTTGGAAATACTTCTTATGTTTACTACTTATAAAAATTGTAATGTAAAAAGAGGGCAACTTGGGAAGACAAAAATCTGTTTACTTTATATAATCTTTCCACATAAATCTGGCAAACTTTCAAAGATCTGCCTCTGCACTGTAGACTGAGAAATGTCAGTTTATTTTGGCTTCCAAGAGAGGTCAGCTTCCTTTACAGATATGTCAGCCTGTGGTCAGTTCTCTTTGGCTGGCCTTGGTTTTTGCAACTTAAAGGGCAAACTGTATATTTTTTAAGTGCTGCTTGAGAAATTAGCCAATTGCAATGGCCATTTTATTTTTCAACAGGCTTTGCTTTCAAATGTGATGAAGTAAACAGCCGTGGAGCAGCATCATTTCACTTCCAAGAAAGAGAACATTTTAATACTTTAGCTTGTAGTATATTAAAAATCTACTCTTTTAAAAACATATGAGTTCTTTCTGTTTAGTGGTTTCCCTGGAATTTTCTAATGATCATACTTTGGTGTTCAATTGATAATAAAGGGTCACAAATGAATTCTAGGTATAATAAATATTACATGTGCTTGCCTCTGGCCTCTGTGTTCTGAGACCACAGAAACCACAAATATGGAGCAGTGGGAGTTTAGGAGAGCAGAAGTTGATCCACTAAATAAAGAACTGATTTAGGCAAAAGAAATAAGTAAATGGTAGGATGTGAATTAATACAACATTATCTCCCCTTAGCAGTGGAACCTTTTTTTCTAAATGGAAGCCAATATATAAGAGCCTTTTAAAAACAGAGCTGCTTTGGATGAAGTGGGCAGAAAGCCTAAAGCCGTGCCTAATTAGTCTCTCCTTTCTTCCTATATTGGTAGGAGAGGCAACTCCTCTTGAAAAACCACTGCAGAACTATAAATCAGTGTCTCCATATGTAGCCACATACAAGAAATTAATGTTTTAAACTTCCTTCCATTGAAAACTAATGTTTTCAATTTTATGGTCACCAAGTATGTGTAAGGACTGTCAGTTTGTTCCTACTGTGTTTTGCTTAGAACAAAATTCATAATTTATCTAGGATCCTATGGCCTGCATATCTATCTGTGCTTAATTTTTTTCCATACTCTGCTCTTCCCCACACAACCCAATAATTGAGTTTGCCTGAGTCTAACTCCCACCCCTTATGCAAGTCTTCAGCTTTCTCTATGGTGCTTCTCAGGTATCTTCAATGCCTGCTGGGTAGCGTCCGATAAGCGTTCTCTGTCACTTCTCTACCATGCCTCACCCTGTCTGGTAGGCATTTGCAATCTCCTGCCAGGACTCAGTGTCTCTGCTTTTGCTTAGCACAGACCTTAGTGTCATGAAGGCAAGCTGTCTTTAAGCCAGCAGTGAGACTCCCGCTTTCCCACTCTATGTCACACTTGTGAAATAACAGATCTGCTCATGACCGACCTCTTGCTCCTGGAACATAAACACTTTCTTCAGACTCTGTCTGGAGCGAGTTTGTCCTGAGGCCCCCTGTTGGACATCAAGACAGGCACCACATTTCTCCATCTTTCTCTCTGGTCATCTGAACTCCAGACCTCTTCCACCCTGGGCTCCCAAACAAAAATCCTCCTGCAAATTAGCTTACTCCAATCATGTGTTTTTCTCACATACTAGTTTAATTAGATAAATATGAATATTTATTTAGAATCCTTTAAAATTTTTAAGTACAATTGATAAATATTCAGAAGGCTTAATTTTAAATCTTTATAAATGTAATACATTTGGGTGGTATTCATTCTGCCTCTCCTTTATTGTTTTGATAACCCTCAAATATTTCAGTTTCAAACTCAAGTTTCTTGGAATAAGCTGAAGTTATTAGAGCAATAATAATTATGCTTAATTCCTTTGGTGTTTACACATAATGAATATCCTTAACCGAAGACATGTTAATAAAATAGCAACAAAAAGCTTATTAGCATTGACATTACTTAGATATCAGTAGATAATTGAGATGTCATGAATGTTTTTCACCAAATTGTTACAGACTCCTACCATTCTGGGTTTCTGTAGGAATTGTGTTACTGGCCTACTAATGGTTGTTTGGGGTTATATGATTGGCTCTGGCTAATGAGTTGTGAGCAAAAGTGACATTGCTCACTTCTGATCTGAGTCATTTTATTGCTGGAGTAAGACTGTGAAAGTGTCTTTGTTTCTAGCATGGATACCTGTACCTAAAGAGAAGGGGCTCCTCTCTCAGCTGAGTTCTTAAGTGACTAAAATGAGAAGAGCCTCTGCTCTAAGCCTTTGCCTGTCTATGATGACTGTGAGGCATGAGCAAGGAATAAAACTTCCTTTTTTGAGACGCTGAGAAGTTAGGGGTTGGTGGTGTCACTACAGCCTAATCTATCCTATTCTGACATATCTATAATGTCCAGTTGAGGTGGATTGGGGAACAGTTGTGGTGTGCTAAAACGTGATTAGTTACATTGGTGATGTGTTCTGTAATCCAGATGTAATAAGGTGATGGGCATGTCAGTAAATGATATTTTGGGGGAAGAATGTATGCACATATTCCACATTGTACTCTGAGGTAGCTGCATATATTACTAGCAAAGCACTCTAGAACCCATTTTAGGTATGATTTATCAAAAATGATCTTGTTTTAGCCTACTTAAAATTAATAAATACTAAAATAAGTACAGTAATTGTATATTTTTATAGGAGACTATTCTTTCAACATTTAAAGATACTCGAGTTTTTCTTTATTTTAAAACTACATTAGAGAGAAGGTTCTGTGGTCCTTTGTTGAACCATGATTGTTACAGAACTAAGAGAAAAACATTTATTCTAGCATGGTGGTTTTGCTGAAAGGTAAGAACTTGTCCTGTTCTCTTTTTGTCCTTCCTTTCCTTCCTGCCTATCTTCCTTCCTTTTCTTCTCTTGTATTCTTTCGTCTTTTCTCTCTTCTATTTCTCTCACAGCCCCTCCCTCCCTCTCTCCCTCTCTTCCTCCTTTGTTATTTTACTCCTTTTTTTTGATACATAGGCTATAATTTATAAATGTTGGTCTATAGGTTGGACATTGAAATAATTTGCACGGAATCTGTTATTAATATACATGTAAGTGTTTGGTAAACAAATATTTCTACAATAGGTCATGAGGAACTTGTAATCACTTAGTAAGCACTGCTTCATTAATCTTAACAATTTTCTTGTGAGGTTAATTGTGTAACAATAATTAACATCCCCTTTGAGTAGGTGGGCTTTTGTCACACTGAGAAGTATTCTTATCTCCCCTCAGAGGCGGGAGAGGAAAAGTAGGCTGTTGTAAACTTTAAATAAGACTCTGTGAGTTACTTAGTGGGGAGGAAATAATTCTTCCCAATGTGAGTGGTATGCTGGCAAGCTTTGTTCTACGTGGCTGTGCCTTCCATTTAATTTCCTGGCTTTCTTATTCTCAAGAAGTTTGGATTATGATATGCTCATTAATTATAAAACAGACTTCAGTAGTCAGAGAATAGTACACATAGGCCATTGAGCAAGTAGGAAATTAAAACAAAATGAAAAAATAAACACTTTCTGCTTTTTTTTTCTTCTTATGTATTGTGAAGAAAATCCAGGGATGGAGTGAATTATCAGTTTAGTTCCCACCTTTGTATATCTGATCTGTCACACACAAATCCACATATACACTTATATGTGAATATATGGCATTAAATGCTCACAAGCAGTCTATGCATATATTATTTGAAAAGATAATCATTTTTCAATAGTTTGAGAATATATTCCCTGTTAAACTGAATTTACTAACTAAATATTTACTAAATATACTCTTAACCAGGGTGATTTATGAGATCATAGGAATAACAAAGAATAAAAATACCTTCTGCAAAGGAAGCTTTAAATTTTAATTTGATTTGTTTGAAAATTCACATGAAGTCTTTGTAATCAATACATTCAGATCAGTATTCTACGAATCTTTCTGCATGTCAGAAATTAAAATTTTATTTAGGATTGAAGAGTAAATCATTTGCCAAGTAGGTTTCTAAAAGTGAAAACAAATGTCAGTTTCAAAAAAGAACAATTTAGTTTTACATTTCTGAGGAAGTCACATATATTATGTATTAATAAATTAACAGTCTCACATTCTCTTTGATCATTGATTGTTTCTTGGCAGTTTGTTACATACTAGATTCTACACATCTCACAGCTATAAATTCAGTACCAGAATTTAGGGAGATAATTTTAATGTAAAACAAAGATTGTTGTAAGAGACAACATGTCATAGTGTTTAAGGGTCAGACTCCCTGGGTTCCAGTCCCAATTTCCAGCTCTGTGGCATTGACACTTTTACACACTTCTCTAAACATCAGGGTTTTGTTTTGTTTCGTTTTTTTGTTGTTTCTGTTTTCTGTGAAGTGGTGATGATTTTAGTGAAATAATTGGAAGACTGAATGAGGTAATGCATGTAAAATACTTAGCATAATGTTTGGACTGTGTAGTAAAGGCTCAATAAATGTTAAATTCCATTAATTGGGTAATCCTGGAACTCTTCACTGCAATTAGAATTCTTTATTACAACAAATAAAATTTTGATTCATCATAAAAAGTAATCAATTTCTTTAATGGACCTCAGAGAAATTAAAATGCCTCCTGGACTGTTAAGTCCTCAGAAATGTATTGCATCTTTAATTCTTTATTTCCTCTGAATACTCATGCACATGAGAAAAAATTTCTAAGTTAAGACATGTCTATTCTCCTTTAGTCCTCATTTCAAATATCAACCACTGTTTACAGTATCACCACTTTTTCCTTTTAAAATGGACTAATCAGTTTTATTTAGAGATTGTTTGACAAAGGGTGATTGCCCCAAATGATGGTTTCCTGAAGACCAGGATATACCAACCAAGAAAAGGCAAGTATATTTTGTCCACCTAAGTAACTTCTTCTTCTGTGTATTTTTCTGCAAATATGGATGTTCCTTTGGACTAGTCCTTTCTCAATCATATTGAAGTTTAAATATATTTACTTTAATTGGTAAAATCAACTTAAAAATCTCTATTCTGATTTTTTCCTAAGGATTGGTATGCATGTTAAAAGTAACCAAAGTATAATTTATGTCTTGGCCTGTATTGAATGCCTTTTTCCTCCTGAGCAGAGTCAATTGAAAAATATCTTGCTTGCTGCCTCCATTTTTAACATTTATTCTTAGGCTTAATGTAGGAAACTAGCAATAAAATATAAATCCATATTCTATTTTTTAAAAGATCATACTGTTTTATTTTCAATTTTATGAAACTTTTACTTTTAGATATTACAAACAAGAGAATTAGAAATGTGACGTTAGACTTTTAACTCTCTGTAGTCCTTTGTATTTAGGAGAGAATTTGGATTAGAAAACCACCTTCTGGAGGAGATTTTGACATTACTGTGTGAGCAAATTCAGGCAAGTCACATAATCTCTTAGAGAGAACTTCAGTTTGCTCAGTTATAAAGATCAAAATAATCATCTGTAACACACTGGATTATATGGAAAGTGTAATATACACGAAATCTATTTAGAAAAGTGAAAACCAGCATGCAAAAATGTTGTTGTAATTATTATTATTGCCAACATAAACTTGTAAATTTGTTCACATTTATTAGTTTAGTTCATTGGCCTGTATGTATGTGAAATAATGGTCCAGTCCTTTGATGATAAATATCACAAATTGTTGGATAGATTTGCTGGGTTTGACATTTTAAATTAAGACTCTGATATTCTGTTAGGAAAACATTTATTTCTTTGGTTTTTCTTTTTACTTTCTATATCACTGGAAGCAATGAGTTTCGGCTTCATATTCACATATTTCAGAGTTCCACTCCCAACCCTGCTTTCCACTAGTATGACCTTTGGCAGTTTGCTTCACAGTTTGGTTCATAGAAAATATGAACTTTATTTTCTGCATCTGCAAAATAGAAATCATATCTATTCTTTCTTAATATAGTCTGTACCAAAAGCAATATTAAGATTAATGCACAAATAATGCAGAAGTGGGAAGTTCTCTTAATTCAGGTTTTTTAAGTAATCTAAAACGTTGTTTTAGGCTGCCCATAGAAAATGAAGTATAATGACTTCGATTTTATTCAATTCCAGTTTTACTCATCTGTAGATGAAGATCAGAAATATAATGAGTTGCTTTATAATAGGCTTCCACTCTTACATCAATCAGACAAGCAGCCTAAAAATAAACACATCCTTTCTGTCCTTGTGTTTCCTGGGAAAGTCAAGAGTTAGCATTAAAGGAAAATGAGTACAAATGAAGATTTATCAAAAAATTTCCCCAAGTGCTAAAAACAAAAATGGTCTGGGAGATATTGTAGTTTTACAGAACTATTTGTTTTCTGTAGGGGGCAAAGGCTATATATAAATAAGCCTAGGTCTCAGTGCCATGTCATGTAACTAAGAATTAAATGTATTAGTCTTTAAAGAATGCAAATGAGGTAAATTTTACATCAGTAAAAATTTTTAAACAGACGAAAATATGGAAACGTGTTAACAGAGCTTCAAAATTTTATGCTATGTTTTTGAATCAGTCTTGAAAATACTACAGATTGGTGTCTGTCCTCCTCTGCAGGTGATAGGTGGGACTATTTCAGAGGACAAATGTGATCAAGCAGCTGGCCATGGTTTTGTTCTGATGGGATTACTCAGCAAATTTAGTAGATAAACTAAACATTTTCCTATTACTTTCTACTTAAAATACTTACTCAACTTGTAAAGGGTTTTATCAAACCTTAGACTTTGTAAACACTTTTAAAAACACTCAGTTTTGTGCCTTTGAACAAGTGTAGCAAAATTAATAGGTGAATCTATATGCAAATTTGTATAGATCTTTGCTTAATTCAGGTAATATCAGCCTAATATATCTATTTTGATTAATTATGTATTTGATTAATTAAACACAACTGGCATTGCACAACTTAACCCCAAATGTATAAACTTTTCTGTTAACCTGGCATCTATGGGAAATGGCTATTTTAGTAATCCGTTAATGGAAATTTACCATCTGTAGTAGATATTTTGAGAATTCAAATGGAACAAACAACAGACTACTAAGCCCATACTTTGTATTTATTTATTTGTGTATTTCATAATCACAATACTAATGAATTATTCCTGTGTGTCAGATAAAATTTTAAATATTAACTCTTTCATTCTTCCTAAGAGCCCCATGAGATAGCTGTTATTATTACTTTTGTTTTCTGGATGAAAAGACTGAGACACAGAAAAGTTAAGTGACTTGCATAGTATCACATTGAGAAGAGGCAGAGCTGAATTCAAGTTCATTCTCTGAGCCCTTACACTATACCACCACTCTGTAAAGATACATATAACACAATATTAGTTAAAAACTCAAAAAGAACTTAGCTTATCCCATGTTTTGTAACTATAGGACGTTTCAAATAGAAAAATATATGTATTTTAAATCCTGCAAAGTACATCTCCAGATATGCTTAGTGGCCTCTGTCTGGTAATGTTTCTTCCACCTAGTGTTTTCCAAGCTATAGCCTGCATGTATCCTCACTAATAAAAGGACTTTCTTCTTTAACCAAGCCTATTGCTCAAAGAATTCTGCAATCTCATCTCTCCCAGGAAACCTCCAAGTGATAAAAAATGGAGTATTGATTTCGACCTGCTATGAGACATGCAAAGTTTACTTTTTACTCACTAATACAAAGTTTTTTGGATTGCTACATTTTAAATTAGTATACATATTTATTTAGATATAAGTTTAGTCTATGTTTAACATTTTGTTTTAGAAAAATTTAAATGTCTTAGGTTACAGGGGCATAGATGTTAAAGGCTTTGCTGTTTAATTACCTTGAACTTTACTTAGCACCATATTAACACAACGAGCTGCTTAATCTTTTCTGTAATTATGATTATAGAAGATCAAAATAAAACTAGAATTACAATTATCTTTTAATGATTTTAAGTTGGTAAGATGTCATTTCTACTAGACAAAAATAATTTATAGTTAGATTAAGCATCTCTAGTACCAGAAGATACAGGATACCTGTAAAAGAAAGAGAGGTGAAAAGTTCATTCCCTGGCTTAGAGAATATTTTATTTAATTTTTGTCTTTAAAATAATTTTCATAAGTTCTTTTGTAACTCTCAACTTTTATTTACCTGAGAACCAAAAATAAATATCCTATTAGAAAAAAATAAATCCTGATCCATTCTAACTAAAATAATTTTTTTGTGCTATTTTCTTAATTGTGGTAACACTCAATTACTGAAAATCAAGCTGATGCAATTTTTTTTAAATGATAAGTGATTCAATGTTTTGGGGATGTGACAGTTTCCTCAGAGGAACTAATCAAAACAAAATTATTTTTCTTGATAAAAAACAGCTACTTCATTTTTTCTAAAAAAAAAAGACAATTCAGAGAACTTATGTAGGTCATTGTCAGTAAAAAAATAGGAAGGAGAAAATATAACAAAATTAATTATCTGTAAAGTACATAAGATGATTTAAAGTTTCCTTTTTTTCTTATTTATTTTGTTTTCTTGAATTTATTTCATATTTATATATGCGAAGAAGCATATTTCCCCATAAATATATTTAGAATGACTTTTATTGATTTTTTAATGTAATTTGTAACTATTACATTTATATTACAACACAAATATATATCCTGTCATCTCTAATATGAATTATTTTTATATGTTATCTTTTTAAAAGTTGTATTTAAATTACTCCAGAATTCTTATATCATGCGAATTATGTGAAAGGACTTTAGGTACACGATTAAAAATATTCTAGCATTTGCATAATTTAACAGATTAAGAAGAAGAATTTAGAAAACCATTCTAGGGCAATTTACTTGTTTTGAACATCTGGTTAACACCTGGAGTAATGAAACTTAACACAGCAGTAACCATCTTTTACACTGATCCTCCATGCACACACAATTGCTAGGAAGGATTAACTACTATTAATTCTTGCTTTCTTTTGCCATAGTGATTTTCCTTGAAAAACAAATTGAGAATCCTTTACTGTAGAATAGCTGAAATTTATATGCATAATATGAATATCACTGATTAAAACCATACTTCAATTTAATATAAATGTGACAAAGAAAGCCGGTTCTTGAAGTTAATACAGATAATTATGATAGAATGTCCTTGAAATTCGTATAAGCACATTTTAGGCAATAAACAATATTATAGTAATAGCCAATGTCATATTCAGCAGAAATTAATGTTGAGTTGACTAGATAAAGACTAGGCTCACAACTTTTCAGATGTTTAATATATTTTTAGATTATATATTTTATAATATATTTCATATAAGTACAGTATTAAAATATATTTTAATATTATGTGTTTTTACCTTTTTTAGTGAATCTTTTTTATGTATCACTTCCTTTTTTTTTCATTTAGTATGTTGATACTTTGGGATACTTTCAATGGAAGGTGTTAAATGAGCCTGCATTCTCAGATCGCAGGGAAAAAAGTTACTTTTCTAAGTTAATTTTAAAAATGAATAATCATTATACACACAATTACCTTGTGTAGGCCATACCAGAAGTTAATGATGTGAATTCTCCTTTCAAGGTACAAATGATTCAGAGCCACTCAAATTGATATTCCATCCTTTTAAAATTTTACTTCCATATATCCAAATTTCTAGGTATATTGTAGGCTTATTTAATAGAATGACAATAAAGATAAGATTGAAACACTTGTAAAGTAAACCATGATGGACTTCTTTTAAAATGTCTCATCTCTAGCTAAATGCTTCAATTACATAGCAAGGGATGTTGTTTTATAATTACTCTTACACAGTAATTCCAATTTTTAAGATCTTATCAACAAATAGGATTGAGTTTTGCCATAAGTTTCTTGTCTTCAGCAAAACGTTAATTTAACTCATGCTATGTTACAATAGTTGTGGATGGCAGGCATGTACACAATTTATATGAAATAAGCTGGATAAATGGCTGTCAGAAAATCATGATTCTTAGTGTTTTCCTTCTTCTTAGTCTAAAATCATTTTGCAAAAATTATGTATTTGTATGTATTTATTTATAAATATATAATTACTAACATATATAAAGCATCACAGTGAAGTAGTATACTATGAGTTCAATGATTTTATATACAAAAAAATGTTTTTTGGACCTTAATTTTTCAAGAAGTGCCTCTAGGTATAGTATTACATGAGATAGTAATGGCAAACAGGATTTATTTGTATATTATATTATTAGCCTTCAAGTCAGAGCCACTGAATATAAATAGGGAATATATTTAATAAATACCCAAAATGAGAAGATTATTTAAGGTTTTTGCCATTATTGGGAAGAAACAAACATTATAGGTGGCCAAAATATATATATATATGTGTGTGTGTGTGTGTGTGTATATATATATATATATGTGTGTGTGTGTGTGTGTGTGTATATATATGTGTATACATATATATATGTGTGTATACATATATATGTGTGTGTATATATATGTGTATACATATATATATGTGTGTATACATATATATGTGTGTATATATATGTGTATACATATATATATGTGTGTATACATATATATGTGTGTATACATATATATATGTGTATACATATATATATATATATATATATATATATATATAGTTATGACCTATGGCTATTTGGATTTAGATTGGACTTTCAATGATTGGCAGGAATATAATTTGAGTGAAAGAAACAGCTTTAAATAAAGCTAAATAAATAAATACAGGCTAGGCGCTTTTGATTTTAATCTAATGGTAGTGGGGGAACTTCAGAAGGAATTTGTGATCAGGGTGGAGGGAGACAGGCAAATAGTTATCATGAAGGAGGTAGAGGTTGAGTGAAATTTAAGCTAGCAAAATTAGACTATCTGGGAAGGGGAATAGGGAACCAGATGCCTTAATGGGACCATGATGAGGCTTCTGCAGTAATCCAAAAATAAATTGATTACAACAGAAGTAATTGAAAAACAATGATGAAAAGCAGTGTGATCAGTTTGAGACATTTAAAGTGACAAGGGATCATAAATTTTTTAAACAAAGTACCAGAGGGAAATAAAAGGCTTCACTTTTGATGATTGTGATATTGGCACAAGTCAGGAATTTGCAAAGGGGAGCTGGTTCAAGTCGAGCCAAGTATGGTGCAGAAATGATGAGTGTGAGGTTTTGGCAGATAATTAAATTGGCAATGTCCTGTGTAAAAACAAATAGAATTTGATATTATAGCTCTGTCACTTAATGGCTATGGATTTACCACATAACAAATTAACAAATCTGAGCAGCTTAGAATAGTCCTTTTCATGTAATTTTAGTGCTTACTAATTTTGGGGAAAATATGAAACCATTGGAGAGGGGAGTCTAAGTTAATTTTCAGAGGTAAATTTATTTTACATTATCAATAAGAAAAATAATCTAAGATAAAGAGAGAATTTAAGTGAAGTTCCCAGGATAGGGCGAGATTTTGGGTATTATTCCAATTTAGTCAAATATTGAAAAGAAAAATCAGAATACTGAGGCTTAAGTAAGGAATGTTTTGTGAATAATTAAAGCTGTGGTCACAGGTCATGCGTTTTAGAAGTTGTATTAAAAATTATAAAAAAATTTCTTTCAATATCTGTTAAACAATTGCTTTAGGAGTCTGAGTTAAAGATAAAAGTTGTATTCTAGTGTCCGTACACAAAAGTGATAAATGAGTATATCTCAAAACAGTATTAGAATATAAAATTCATCTGCTATAGAAACTTTAGAACACAATGTATCATCTATAAAAATATTATTTGTAGCTTTAAAAATCAGTTATGCATATATGTTAATGTTATCCCAAGAGAATCATGAAAATAGTATTTAGTGCCTTTCTTTATTGACTCGATTTGACAAATTAACTACAAAACCACTATTTTGGAACTACTCACTTCTAAGGAAAATGGGAAGACAAAAAAAATTAACTCCCAAGGTTTCCAGAATTGCTATTATTTATATTATAATATATAGTATAAGTTTTTTTCTGATATTATATAAACTTTTTGGTTAAATAGATAATAACTTTCTAGTAAACCCATTACGTCAGCTTTCAACAATGTTATATGGAAGTCAGCTTTCAACAATATTATATGGAAAAGTAAATCGAAATACATAAGATAAACATTTAAACAACTTTTATTTTATTTTGACTTACCTCTGTTATTTCAATTCATTTTCCTAAAGTTTCATAAATAAATACAAAGAAGACTAAATTTTGAGTAAGAATTTTCATTGCATTTGTAAACAATAAATTATAGTTTGTGTTCATCATATAATTTTTAGTACTCTGCTCCATTAGACCCATTTTGAAAAGTTGTTGGAAGTGCTTCCTGATTTTTGAATCAAGCTTTCATTTAGATTTTAAAAATGTGTGATTTACCAAATTTGCATAATAAATCATATAAAATACAAAATTATATTCTAGTACTTGAAAAATATTTATATTTTATTAATTATTTTTGGAGTTTTAAACTTGAGATTAATAGGATAAAAATATACATTTGAATTTATGCAACCAATTTTGTACCTTTTTAAATTGTGTATATTTGCTTAGATCTGCCATTACTATCCATGTGTGTTTTGCCCATAGAAGGCAATGCATTGTAGAACTTCAGGGTTAATATGAAAGAAATATTTTGCTTTAAAGAATCGCCTGCTTCAATTTTTGCCTTCATTCCTTAGGAGCCATGAATAGAAACTTTTGAAGCTTTGAATAGAAATAATTTTAAAGTGGCAGAAATTCTACAACTATCAATGAGCAAGTTGCCTTGATTTCATCATGACTTAAATATGAAAAGCCGAAGAGAGCATTTGGCTTTCTACTGTTTCTTCTTCATCTAGAAACTTCGTTATTAAATATGTGAAAGTCAAATATGATTCAAGTATTTTAGCGTGCTACACATTGTGATCTTTAGAGTTACATTATCTATAAATTACAAGTAGCCCAACTAAAACATCTGCAGTGTGGTATTTTTGTGCAATTTAATTTTCACTAAAAGCATGAGAGTCAATAGGAAAGTCACCATCAGCAAAATTGAATTCAGAAATTTCATTCATGGGATAAAAGGATTATTTTAAAATGAGTCGAATATGCTGAATGATATTTGTCGTTTTTAAAATGATAAGTGTTCTCATTTGTCTTAATTTACTTTTATTTCTCATAGCATCCTACATTTTTAGAACGTAATAAATAATTTTAAGCACATTTTTTATGGTAACATCATTACTGAAAGCTGATGTACCCTCATTCTCAAATACCGATTTTTTTTTAGTAGTATGAAAATGTTTGAGATGTGTTTGATATTATATTTAGGATAAAATATTGTTAGAGATTGAATGTTTTTGCCATCCTTCAAATTCATATGTTGAAATCCTAATGCTAATGTGATGATATTTGGAGCTGGGGACTTTGGGTCACAATTAGTTCATGAGAATGGAACTTTCGTGAATGAGATTATTGCCCTTACAAGAAGAGGTCAAAGAGCTCGCAAGTTCTCTTTCTGCCATGTGAGTCATAAAGAAGTCAATGGCTAAGAACATGGAAGAGGGTCCTCACCAGAACCTGACTATGCTGACAACCTGATCTCAGACTTCTGGCTCCCAGAACTATGAGAAATACATTTCCTTTGTTTATCAGCCACCAAGGCTATTGTGCTCTGTTACACCTGCCCAAACTGACTAAGATAGATACCTCTGAATCCTACTATTTTTATGCTCTTCTGGCCTATATAAGAAAGTTGTGCAGAGAGTTAAGCGTGCCCAGGGATTCACAGTGGTAGAATGATGATTTGAACCCAGGCTGTCTCCAGAGCCTTCACCACTGTACTTTACTGCCTCCAAATATTTGTCTGAAATATTGCATAAGGGAGGGTGAAGGGGGCTTTTGGAGGGAAGTGAGCACAAGGAGAGTGTGGCTGACAGTGAGTGGACTGCAGCAGCTTCCATCAGAGTTTAGTCTTATACACATTCTTACTCAATCTTTGGGTGGGAGCTCATCTCTCAGTTTTTGGTGTTCATGTACTGTGTATGTAATTGGATTCGATTCTTTAAGTCACGAGATCTCTCCCCTCCCACCTTCACCAGGCTTCACCTTCAGCCTTCTTTACTGGCCAAGATACTTTAGGGAATGCTGTCCTTCTTGAAAGGTGAAGAGTGAAGGACCACTCTTTATCATCACTTCTCATTTCATGGTATTTTGTAGGTTCTCGGTGCTCTACACGTTCAGAGAAACTTCTCTAGTAACAAACTATAGAAATGATCCCTGAAAGTATAGTCTTGGTATTTTGTAGGTTCTGTAGTTTGTGTTTTGGGGTCATGGTATTTTCATTTCTTTGCTGTAAATGGATAGTTTTTCTTTCTCTTTATATTTGTTTTGTTGTGCCAATTGGGTTTCAAGAGTTGGAAGAAAAGATAAAAAAGATGCTAATTCTTTGAAGTATTTAATTGGAGTCCAAAATATATTCCTCAAAATAATTTTATCTAAATTAACATTATCGGACCTTAGGTATTTTGGTATAACTTGAATATCTCTGGAGGAAAACAACAACAACAATAACAGTGCCTATTGCACAGAGCTCTGTTGGGGTTTAATGGAGCTGACCAACATATGCAAAGTGTTTAGACAAGTACCACATACCATGATAGTTACACGATAATGTTAAACTATCATGAACATCATCATTGCTAATTGGGGCTTCATTTTTCTAATATTAAATATGTTTTTGCTTGGATATCTCTTTAAATTCTTCAAATTAATAACTATAAATACTTTATTCTGAATATACTAATTAGGGAAATAAAATATTTCCAATAATTTATACTTATGATTTGGATTATAAGTTAACACCTTTGTATTCATGTACAGAGCTCTTATGTTAAATACTATAGTAATATAAATGTATATCACATAAACATCCTATATTAGTGTCTAAATTTTGTAATCCCAAGATTAGCAGTGCAGTATGATCTCTTAGAAGTTTATCTAACATCAAATGATAAATAAACATAATATTTGGTTTTATATAGTGACATTTAACTATTTTGGTGTGCATTCCATTTGGAATATATTCATGGGATTTATTTACCTCTGACCTTAGGCGAGACACTTCCTATCTTTGAGTGTCATGTTCTTCATTAATAAATATCTCATAGACAAGATCTCGAATCACAAACTAGCAGACCTGAGTCTACCTGAAGAAACATTTTGATGTATTAGCTCAGTGTTTAAGGCATGTTTGAAACTTAAATGCTTTCAGTCAGGGCATGGTGTCACTAGTTCCTTCAGTCTCTGCCACTCAGAATTAGCTCATGTGTAGCCACTTCATACATTTATGCTAGTTGTGTGACCACGGAAGGAATTTGAGATTTTGGCTCTTGACCTATATCTCTATGTTCTCTTCCACCATTAAAGTTGTCTATTCATGTGACTGTTCCCATTTAGAAGAGAGTTGAACAAATGGGTCCTTTTTCAATCCACTTGTCCCTATCATTACACTTTTTGATGGATACCTGTAATTGTCCTAGTCCCCTCAGAAGAAATGCTTTCTTCTGTTCTGTTGACACGCAAGTTAGTCATAGGTCCCAGAGAATAACATTGTGGTTTTTGTAAATGCTCATTGTAAAGTCTATCAAGATATTTTGAGAAAAATTTTATTCTTAATTTCTCTGAAATTAAGAATTATAAATAAAGTAGCAAATTAAAATTCTACCTTATCGTCTAATTTTGTCATTAACTATTTTTATTTCTTCTTAGAATAATTTTTGAAAACTTATTAATGTCATAACTAGAACTTATTTTGAACTTAATAAATGTAGTTGGATGACTTACCCTAAAAAAAGAAATGATAAATGACCTTGATAAGAAATACATGGAATTTTAGTGGCCAATGATTGAGATAATGGGATAATTTAAAGGAAAGTGTTTTGTACTCTCTGAAAAAAAGTATCATATCCAAATTAATGTGGTTATTTTTAGTTCTCTACAAATATGAAGTTGACCCACTATTCTTAGTATTAATAATACTACTTGGAAAATTGTAGTTGTCATTCAGTAGTTGTAATGGATTACTGTATAGTCAAACTGCATTATAAACCATGCCAGAATATATAGAATTATATTATATATAGAACATAGAGCTGGTACTTTTTTAAACTTTAGGGGAAAATGTAATGTAACTTTTATAAAATATAAAGATCAAACTGGTATCATTGGCTAAGTTCAACTTATAATCATAATTGTAGAATGATTAGAAACACTCCCATTACTTAAAAGGAAGGAACTTGTAAGATTTACAAGTGATTATTTGTTCATAGTGCAATTCAGCTAGAAATTTAATGTTATAGATTTAAGCAAAACCATCAAAGCTACCTGGTGGTTTCACAGTTCTACTAAACCTGGATGTGCATGCTAAAATGCTAATTCATAGGTCTTCCCCTGCTTAGTGTCTATAGTTCTGTGTCTTCTCTTTAACCTAATATTATAATCTTGAAAGAAATTTTAGGAATGATTCCAGTCTGAATTTATATCCGTAGAACCTGAGAAAGTCAAACAATTTTTAGAATAATATGTGTTTCAGATAAATATTTACATCAGTATAATAAATAGTTCATTCATAAGAACAAAATTTCATAACTAACTTTCTTCCAGGAAAACAGAAATTTCTGAGACTCCAAGGTTTTTTTATACCTAGGATCCCAAGCTGCATGTTGTTATTTTTGCCATATTCTATTTGTCAAAATAACTATTATAACAAGGCCAGCCCAGATTCAAGAGTCAGTGAAACAGAGCTGTAAAATTTTCTTGCCATGTTTTCAATTAACTATATCATGTGATATACTTTGGCCACTGGTACACTGAAAAATGTCTGCGACTAGGGCTAGTGTTCTGGAAAATAAGAGACCACAGGAGAGAGGCCCCACATTTAGAACAATCCCAGCTACACTGAACAATTCCAGCCACACCAGCCTCGGACCTACATATATGACCATCCAGCCCTAGCAGAACATCCTGGGGATCAGAACCACCGAGCCAAGCCACATAACCTTGTGAAACTATAAATGTTGATTGTTTAAGCTACTAAGTACCATGTAGTATAAGCTAACTGATGATAATCCCCTTTCCTGCAAGTTAGAGAACAGGAAGTTACCATGTAGAATATTGGTTCCAAACTGTAGCAGCTGCTAGAGCCAAAAAACTGAAGCCTCATGCTAAATCTTTTCATAAGCATCAATAGTGGAATGATCCCCCAAAGGACAAAATGCTTTCATGGCCATCTTTATGGCAGAAAAAACATCTCTCTTTCAAATCTTGTATAACAGTGTCTAATAAGCTGAAACTAAATCACATCCGGAACCCTACCGACAGGGAAGTCTGCAAAATGTAGATTTTAGCCCTTCAAAATTGACAGCACAGGAATTCATATTAGGAAGCTATAATAGACAGTGAGCTCCAATCCATCATATCTGCTATAATCAGCACAAGTTCTTTTTCCTTTGGTAATTGTATTCATTTTTATGGATTTTGAGGATATAATTTCCTATCAGTTTAATGAAGAAATATGTCAAAACTCATATTCATAGTTTTTTAGATATAGGAAATAATTTATTTTCAAATTGTGAACTAATTAACTTGTATGCCAAGAAAGATGGTGTTTATTCTCTAGGACCAGAGTTCCCTGTAATTTTCTTAAGTTTGGAATGGTGGGAAATGCTCTTCTTTCCAGTCTTCATCCTCATCGCCTGCTAGCTTACTGTTACCACTTTTTAATGCTTTAAGGCCCATATATAAGCTATTACCTTTACTAGAACCTCGAGTTTCTTTTCTCTCTACCTCCAAAGTATAATTAACACATACCCATCTTTCACTTCTTACCCTAAGTATCACTTTCTGGAAGAGACTTCTCCGGACTCCCCCAAAGTTGATCAGGTTCTCTTGTTACAATAAGGAAAACTTTATAAAGTAATCATCCCGTAGCATTGTATATTTCTTCCTGTGGTCTGGTGAATAAGAGATGTCTAAATTAATTTTAGGATGGGAACACCTAACAAAGGAGCTAGCACTGAGAAAATATTTGTGAATGTATGTATGTATTTATTTTTATAATTTTTAAAAAAATGTGTGAGCGCATGGTAGGTGTATATATTTATGGGATTTATGGAATACATGAGATGTTTCCACAGGCATGCTATGTGAAATAAGGACGTCATGGAGAATGAGGCATCCATCCCCTCAAGCATTTATCCTTTGAGGTACAAACAATTCAATTACACTCTTTTAGTTTTTTAAAAATGTACAATGAAATTATTATTGACTACAATTACCCTGTTGTGCTATTTTATAGCACAACATCTGTTCTATTTCTTATTCATTTGTTCTAACTATTTCTTTTGTACCCATTAGCCATCCGCATCTACCCCTCAATCCCCCACTACCCTTCCCTGCCTCTGGTAACCATCCTTTTACTCTCTATGTCCGTGAGTTCAATTGTTTTGATTTTTAGATCCCACAAATAAGTGAGAACATGCCATGTTTGTCTTTCTGTGCTGAGCTTATTTCACATAACATAATGATCTCCAGTCTCACCCACGTTGTTGTAAATGACAGGATCCCAGTTTTTTATGGATGAATAATACTCCATTGTGTGTGTGTGTGTGTGTGTGTGTGTGTGTGTGTGTGTGTGTGTGTATACCAAATTTTCTTTATCCATTCATTTTTTTGATGGCCACTTAGGTTGCTTCCAAATCTTAGCTATTATAAACAGTCCTGCAACAAACATAGGAGTGCTGATATCTCTTCGATGTATTGATTTCCTTTCTTTTGGGTATATACCCAACAGTGAATATGGTAGCTCAATTTTTAGATTTTTACAGAACATCCAAACTGTTGTCCATAGTGGTTTTACAAACTTACATTCCCACCCACAGTGTATGAGACTTCCATTTCCTCCACATCCTTGCTAGCTGTTGTTATTGTCTCTTTTTGATATAAGCCATTTTAACTGGGGTGAGATTATATCTCATTGTAGTTTTGATTTGCATTTATCTGATGATCAGTGATGTTGAGCACATTTTAGTATGTCTGTTTGCCATTTGTGTTCTTTCTTTTGAGAAATGTCTATTCAAATCTTTTGCCCATTTTTTGATTGGGTTATTGGATTTTTTTCTTATATAGTTGTTTGAGTTCCTTATATATTCTGGTTATTAATCCCTTGTCAGATGGGTAGTTTGTAAATATCTTCTCCCACTCTGTGAATTGTCTCTTTACTTCATTGATTGTATCCTTTGATGTGCAGAAGCTTTTTCAACTGGATGTGAGCCCATTTATTTTGCCTTGGTTGCCTGTGCTTGTAGGGTCTTGCTCAAGAAACTTTTCACTCAGACCAGTGGCCACAAGATTTTCCCCAGTGTTTTCTTGTAGTAGTTTCATAGTTTGAGGTCTTAGATTTAAGTCTTTCATTCATTTTGATTTGATTTTTATACTTGATGAGAGACAGGGATCTAGTGTTGTTGTTCTGCATATGGATATCCAGTTTTCCCAGTAACATTTTTTGAAAAGACTGTCTTTTTTCTCCAATGGATGTTTTTGGCAACTTTGTTGAAAATGAGTTCAGTATAGGTGTGTGGGTTCTCTCTTCTGTTCCATGAGTCTATGTTTCTGTTTTTTATGCCAGTACCATGCTGTTTTGGTGACTATAGCCCTGTAGCATAATTTGAAGTCAGGTAATGTGATTCTTCCAGTTTTGTTCTTTTTGCTTAGGATAGCTTTAGCTTTTCTGGGTCTTTTGTGGTTCCATACAAATTTTTGGATCTTTTTTCTATTTCTGTAAAGAATGTCATTGGTATTTTGATAGGGATTTCATTGAATCTGTGGATTGCTTTGAGTAGTATGGACATTTTAACAATACTGATTCCTTCCATCCATGAACATTGAATATTTTTCAATTTTTTTGGTGTCCTCTTTAATTTCTTTCATCAATATTTTATAGTTTTTTTATGGAGATCTTTCACTTCCTTGGTTATGTT